>NT_167249.2:2654892-2847889 GCF_000001405.40 Homo sapiens
CCTCTAACTCCCCATCCCACTCAGAGCAAAGGCCAGATCCAACCCCACTCCCCTCAAGCCCACCTGTTCTGGCCACACCTCTGACCTCACCTCAGTTTCTCTCTGTCCAGCCCTCCTGGCCTCCTTGCTCTTCTGGGAACACAGACACCTTCCTGCCATAGTGCATTTGGACTGGAGCTTCCTCTGCCTGGAAAGAACTTCCCCAGACATCCTCATGTCTCTCAAATCTTTCCTCAAAAGTCACCTTTGCAACAAGGCACACACTGACTACCCAGCACAACAGCCACCTTCCCTGTCCCCACTGCCCACATCCTGGATCACCTGCCTCACAGCACTTACCACCTTCTAGCACTTTCCTTCCTTACTCTGGTTATAGTGTATCTATCGTCTGCCTCTTCCCACTGGAACATATGCTACAAAAGGCCAGAGATTTTTCTGATTTTACTTCAGTGGTGTTCCCCAGATGCAGAACCATTCTGTCCTATGTCTGGCCAATGACAAAGGTCAGTTGAATGAATGATCACTGTAGAGCACCTCCCTATTTTGAAGGCAGTATCTTTATTAACATAGCCTCAGGCCAAGTGCTGTTTTGTGGCAGCTACAGCACAAGGACCCCTCACACTGAGATAGAGGCCGCCTATGTTTTTCTCAGCAGTGCTGCTTGTGTGCCCTCCCTCCCCATCCCTCTTTCTACAGCAACCCCCTCCCCGCACCCCCTGCCCCAGCACACTGCAGCACACAATCAGGTTCTCTCTTCAGGAAAGAACAGTCCTTGATGATGGGTCCAATTTCACAGACAAATGTAAGTCTAAATTAGACTCTGCTTTACAGATTCATGAGTTGGGATTGGATTCAGCACCAAGATCACTAGAACCAGGGCAGGGAGAGAGGGCAGAAGAGCAGAGCAGAAAAGGAGCTCTAGAAGCAGGGCAGGAGGTGAATGGCTCTGAAAATTTGTCTCAGAATGCACAGAGACCCCCGCGTGCAGGGGCCGCCCAGGGCGATGTGTGAGCCTCTGTGGTCACAGCTCCCACTGGACAAGTTTCCACTGAAGGGACAAGGACAATGGAGCAGTGAAGGTGACCCAGCTGAAGACTAACCACATAAAGCCCATGATGGACTCAACACCAAATGGGCACAGGCCCCGTCCACACTCGGCCCCCCACAGCCTTCTCCACACCCCACCTGCAACAGACTCAGCACAGCGAACATGCAGATTCTGGAAGGTTCTCAGGTCTTTATTTGCTCTCTCAAATTCCAGGAATTGACTTATTTAATTAATCCATCAACCTCTCATAGCAAATATTTGAGAAAACAAATTTATATTCAGATTCTTATTTTCAGTAGGGAAGTAAGAAGTTGCAGCTCAGTGCACATAAAGTTGAGACAGAGATGGAGACATCCAGCCCCACCTCTCTGGAACAGGAAAGATGACTGGGGAGGAAACACAAGTCAGCATGGGAACAGGGGTCACGGTGGACACGGGGGTGGGCTGTCTCTCCACCTCCTCACATTATGCTAACAGGGACGCAGACACATTCAGGTGCCTTTGCAGAAAGAGATGCCAGAGGCTCTTGAAGTCACAAAGGGGAGGCGTGAAGAAATCCTGCATCTCAGTCCCTCACAAGACAGCTGTCTCAGGCTACAGAAAACAACAGTCATGAACAAATTCTGGTTAGTCATGGTAAGTGATGACACTCTAAACAGCCCACCACACACGCGAAACATCCCAATCAAAGAATCTCCATTACCCAGGCCTTTCCCCACTGCCCCACCCACCCCCAGACCTGCCACCCCACCCACTCTAGACCCCAAGAATCTCACCTTTTCAAGCTGTGAGAGACACATCAGAGCCCTGGGCACTGTCGCTGCCTGGAGTAGAACAAAAACAGGACCTGGTCAGAGCCCGCAGGAGACGTGGGACAGGAGGAATTATGGGGTGGGTGAGCTCCTCCACACTCCCGCCCCCATCACTTACACGCAGCCTGAGAGTAGCTCCCTCCTTTTCCACCTGTGGGAAGAAAATGCCCTGTGAGGGGACTGGGAGGAAGCAGGGCCATGAGATCTTAGAGGAACCTCCTCGTCTTGGACCCAAAAGGAATTTCCAGAAGTATGACTACAGACCCAAGGCAGGATCAGGAAACACGAGGAAAGCAAGTGTGGGTCCTGGACCAACTGCCCTCCTAAGGTCTGTCCTTAGCAGGGACCTTCCCCTGACTCATGAATGCTGGAATCAGGACCCCAACACCACAACCACCAAGGTGATACATCCGTCCTTCATTGTCACATGTGCTGCACAAAAGAGTAAGTGCTGGCACACAGGGTCCCAGGCTGCGTTAGCCCCTGTGTGGATGCTGCTTCCCAGTAATGAGGCAGGGAACACTTCTACCTGGGGCTTGAAACCCCCAGTGGGACAAGAAAACCCAGACCCCACCCCTCACCCCTTCCCTACCTGAGCTCTTCCTCCTACACATCACAGCAGCGACCACAGCTCCGATGACCACAACTGCTAGGACAGCCAGGCCAGCAACAATGCCCACGATGGGGACGGTGGACTGGGAAGACGGCTCTGGGAAAGGAAGGGAAGATGAGGGGCCCTGACCCTGCTGAAGGGCTCCTGCTTTCCCTGAGAAGAGATATGACCCCTCATCCCCCTCCTTACCCCATCTCAGGGTGAGGGGCTTCGGCAGCCCCTCATGCTGTACATGGCATGTGTATCTCTGCTCTTCTCCAGAAGGCACCACCACAGCTGCCCACTTCTGGAAGGTTCTATCTCCTGCTGGTCTGGTCTCCACAAGCTCGGTGTCCTGAGTTTGGTCCTCGCCATCCCGCTGCCAGGTCAGTGTGATCTCCGCAGGGTAGAAGCCCAGGGCCCAGCACCTCAGGGTGACCTCATGGTCAGAGATGGGGTGGTGGGTCACATGTGTCTTTGGGGGGTCTGATGGGAAGAGTCAGAAAATTCAGGCGCTTTGCATCTCTCATGGGACACCCTAGGACCACCCATGTGACCAGCCTGAGAATGGACAGGACACCTGGGGTGGGGAAGGGGCACAGAACCCAGACACCAGCCTGGACGCAGGCACCTGGGATAATCTCCTATTCATTGGAAAGTTCGAGTCTCTGAGCGGGGAACAGGGACTTCTGCTCCTGATCTGAGTGGAGGTAAAGTGACTCAGAAGTGCTGGAATCAGAGCCCCAAACACACTGAGTGTGAGGCAGAGAACAAGGCCTGAGAGGAAAAGTCACGGTTCCCAAGGCTGCTGCAGGGGTCAAAGGGGACCCCTGATCAGTATTCTAGGGACTGTCTTCCCCTCCATTTCCTCAGAGACGTCATCCCTTAATTGTCCTAGAGAGAAGAGGGGGCCCTCAGAGGAAACTCAGGAAAACTCATGCCATTCTCCATTCAAGGGAGGGCGACATTCTAGCGCTGATCCCATTTTCCTCCTCTTCTCGTGGGAGGCCATCCCCGGCGACCTATAGGAGATGGGGAAGGCTCCCCACTGCCCCTGGTACCCGCGCGCTGCAGCGTCTCCTTCCCGTTCTCCAGGTATCTGCGGAGCGACTCCACGCACAGGCCCTCCAGGTAGGCTCTGTCCTGCTCCGCCACACGGGCCGCCTCCCACTTGCGCTGGGTGATCTGAGCCGCGGTGTCCGCCGCGGTCCAGGAGCTCAGGTCCTCGTTCAGGGCGATGTAATCCTTGCCGTCGTAGGCGTCCTGGTCATACCCGCGGAGGAGGCGCCCGTCCGGCCCCACGTCGCAGCCGTACATCCTCTGGATGATGTGAGACCCTGGCCCCGGCCCCGCGGTCAGCCCCGTCCCCCGAGCCCCGCCCCGCCCCGACCAACCCGCGGGGATTTTGGCCTCAACTGAAAATGAAACCGGGTAAACGCGCCTGGGGCTCTCGCCGGTCGAGGGTCTGGGCGGGTCCCGCGGCCTCGGGGGCGGATCTCGGACCCGGAGACTCGGGGCGACCCGGGCCGTACGTGGGGGATGGGGAGTCGTGACCTGCGCCCCGGGCCGGGGTCACTCACCGGCCTCGCTCTGGTTGTAGTAGCGGAGCGCGGTGCGCAGGTTCTCTCGGTAAGTCTGTGTGTTGGTCTTGGAGATCTGTGTCTCCCGGTCCCAATACTCCGGCCCCTCCTGCTCTATCCATGGCGCCCGCGGCTCCTTCCTCGGACTCGTGGCGTCGCTGTCGAACCTCACGAACAGCGTGTCGTCCACGTAGCCCACGGTGATGAAGCGGGGCTCCCCGCGGCCGGGCCGGGACATGGCGGTGTAGAAATACCTCATGGAGTGGGAGCCTGGGGGCGAGGAGGGGCTGAGACCCGCCCGACCCTCCTCCCGGCGCGGCTCCCCGGGTCCTGCGCCCCCGCCTGCGGTCCCCTCTCTCCTCCCCACAGAGGCCATTTCCCTCCCGACCCCGCACTCACCGGCCCAGGTCTCGGTCAGGGCCACTGCCCCCCAGAGCAGCAGGAGGAGGGTTCGGGGCGCCGTGACCCGCATCTCGGCGTCTGAGGAGATTCTGAGTCCGGGTGGGTGCGTGGGGACTTTAGAACTGGGACCCCGGCGACACTGATTGGCTTCTCTAGACACCCGACACCCAATGGGAGTGGGAAATGGGGACGCGTCACGAGTATCCTGGAAGAAGGACCCGACATAGGTTGGGAGAAGAAGTGAAACTCGTGGGAGTGGGGAATCCCCAACGCTGCGCCTCCCCATTGCAGACGCGGCCCTCGGAGCCTGAGACCCTGAGAGCCCCGTCCGGGACCTGGGACTTCGTCCTGATCCCTCTTCTCCTACACCAGCCTCTTTGTCACACTGTCTGCCTGAGTCCTGGACAAGGATCTGTCTGTGGAAACCAGGGAGAGACCCCCAGGCTGCGCCCAGCCCCTTCCCCTTCACTTCTCCTCCTGGAATCCCTGTCCCTGAACTGGACTCCCTGCCTCTCACTCCTTACCTCTCCTCTTGGATCTTGTGTAGGGAAACTGATCACGGGGAACTTGATGCCAGAGAGTGAGCTCGCCCTGGGAATGGAGGTGTAGAGACAGGGGTTTTCTCTCTAAACCTGGCGAAGTTTTGTCTGAAGCCACCACACAGAGATTCTCATAGAGACCAGTTTCCTTTTTGTTTATTAATACAGTAGGTAGCACAATATTGGTAATCCCTGAATGATTAGAATTCCAATCTGCAAAAGACCTGTGTCAAAACAGCATTACAATTAAACTCTCAAAGCTCCTAAGTTTTACTTTCCCAGACTATGGATCTGTGACTCTGGGTTGTTGCATTTAAAATTATCTTCATTCCCCACCCCGAGTTTCCCTATATGAGTCCAGAACATCTCCTGAATATAAAGAAGCGGGGTTTGTTACTGTCTATTGCAACCGGGAACCTGTAGTCATCACCTCAAAGTTGGGAGTGCTCCATGCAGTCCCAATGCTCTTCACCGACGCTCAAGCACTGCCTGTTTTCCTGAACTCCGCACATCTAAGCAGTATGCATATTTTATCTGGACACTGGGTATTTTTGTAACTCTTTTTTTTTTAATCATAAGGAGCCAATTAGTTTTTAGGAAGTCTAACAAAATGTATTAAATACCGAATGCAAAGAACCCTCTGCCAGACTCTTCCACTGCTTTAAAATTCTTTCCCCTGCTCCTTTTCCTCACCTCCTGCCTCTCCAGCCCTTCTCTCTGCCCCTCTCATCCCTCACACCCCCGCTCCCCTTAGTCCCCGCCACCCTTTCACTCCTGAATTGTGGCACTAACACTGTCCCTCACCTCCTGCCCATGTCTGTTCTCCCCACAGTGCTCAGCAGTCCTGCTAATGTGACTCAGGTCATGTCATTTCTTCACTTGCAATGGTTGGGTTTTGGTCTACCATTTTGCTAGATGTTTTCAATTTGTCTCATATCTTTTTGTTTCTGTTCCTCCTTTACTACTTTCTTATGTGTCAAATAAACATTTTTTAGTTTATGGTTTTAATTCTCCTAGTGGCTTTTGGCTATATTTCTTTACACAATAGCAAAGAATGGAAACCCGATTCCTTGACTTTTCACAGTGAAGTTCAGGTTATATTAAGCTGCATCCAGAAAATAAAGGACACTTCTAACAGTGTAGTTTCTTGTAACCTACCATTGTGCTATTATTGTTGTATATATTACATCAACCTATATTATAAGCTCAATGATACAGTGTAATACTTTTTGTTTTAAACAAGTAGCCATATGTCTTCAGGAAATTAAGAAAATGAGTGTGAATGTGACATGTGTATGTGCATCATTTCTGTTGTTAATTGTTCCTTTCTGTATATCTGGGTCACCATCTAGTATCATTTTCCTTCACCCTGAAGCACTTCCTTTTAAATTAAATGTAGTACAGGACCCCTAGGAAATTAATTTTATGGCTTTGATTATCTAAAAATGTCTTTATTTTTGCCTCCCCTCCCCCCCTTTTATTTATTTATTTATTTTTGCTTATTAGGGCATTTATATGTAATAAAATTCACCAGTTTTAGCTGCGCTTTTTTGGCAAATATTGGTAATTATTTATAGTCATGTAACTACCACACTGCCCAGTAGAGAAACCCAGAATGCAAAGAATCCCCTGCTAGGCTCCTCCACTGCTTTAGAGTCCCTTCTCCTGCTCCTTGTCCTCACCTCCTGCTTCCCCAGCCCTTCTCTCTGTCCTCTTCCCTCACACCCTCCTCTCCCCTTAGTTCCCACCACCCAGTCACTCCTGAGTTGTGGCGCTGTAGAGAACCGTTTCTTTTCCCTAAAAACTTTCTTTCTGCCCCTTTCTATTTAATCCTTGCCTCCCACCCTCACCCCTTCCCTTCACTCAACCACCACTCTGTTTTCTGTCACTGCAATACTGAAATTTCTAGAATGTAATGGACGTGCAGTCTTATGTTATGTAGTCCTTCGTTTGGTCTCTCCTTTAGCATAACGATGTTTGAGATGATGCCATTCACTCATTTTTGTTGCTGAGCAGCTGCTGAGTATTGCGGGAATCCCAGCTTATTCATTGGTTTCTCTGCCTCCAGTTGATAGACATGTGGATTCCTCCAGTTAGGGCTTGTTATTAATGAAGCCACTATAAATAACTGCTTACAAGTGTGGCCTTACATTTTTATTTCTTTTGGATAAATACATATTTGTGGAATTGCTGGGCCATGTGGTAATAGATGGGTAACTGTATAAGAAACTGCCATACCACTTTACAAATTGGCTGCCACATTTTTTGCATTCCTACCAGCAATATCAGACATTCCTATTTTTTCCATATTCTTGACAATATTTAGACTTATCCAATGTCTTTTTAACTTTATCTATTCTAGGTGATGTGTGATGGTTTCTCATTGTGGTTTTAACTTGCACTTCTTTGATGACTAGTATTGTTTGCTGTCTTTTCATGTTCATCTAAGTGACTTATTACATATATTTTATGAACTATTTTGCAAATTCAATGATTAATTCCAGAGACTTTTTCAGAATTCCCTAGTGTTTTCTACATATGCAATGAAGTTGGTGACAAAGACTTTTGTTTCTTCCTTTCCTATCTATTGATCTTTTTTCTTTTAAAATTATTTTTATTTGGTAGAGATGAGGTCTCACTATCAGGCTGGTCTCAAACTCCTGAACTCAAGTGATCCTTCCACCTCAGCCTCCCAAAATGCAGGGATTACAGGCATTAGCCACCATGCCTGGTCCTTCTATTGGTTTCTTATTTCATTTTCTTGCCATGTTGCACTGATTTGGATGCCTCTTAGGTGTTTAAACAAGAATGATGAGAGCTCACATGTATGTTTACAAGGAGCTTAAACAAATTTACAAGAAAAAAAACAGCCCTATCAAAAATTGGCAAAGGGTATGAACAGACACTTCTCAGAAGAAAAAACATATGAAAAAAAAGCTCAATATCAATGATCATTAGAGAAAAGCAAATCAAAACCACAATGATGTACTATCTCCTGCGAGCCAGAATGGCGATTATTAAAAAGTGAGGAAACAATAGATGCTGGTGAGGCTGTGGAGAAATAGGAATGCTTTTTCACTGTTGGTGGGAATGTAAAATAGTTCAACCATTACGGAGGATGGTGTGACCATTCCTCAAAGATGTAGAACCAGAAATACTATTTGACCCAGCAATCCCTTTACTGGGTATATACCCAAAGGAATATCAATCATTCTACTATAAAGACACATGCACAGGTATGTTTATTGCAGCACTATTTTCAATAGCAAAGACATGGAACCAACCCACATGCCCATCAATGATAGTCTGGGTAAAGAAAATGTGGTAGATATACGCCATGGAATACTACACAGCCATAAAAAGGAATGAGTTCATGTCCTTTGCAGGGACTTGGATGAAGCTGGAAGTCATCGTCAGCAAAGTAACATGGGAACAGAAAACCTAACACCAGGTGTCCTCACTCTTAAGTGGGAGGTGAACAATGAGAACACATGGACACAGGGAGGGGAACAACACACACCAGGGCCTTTTGGGGAGTCGGGGGTAAGAGGAGGGAACTTAGAGGATGGGTGAATAGGTGCAGCAAACCACTATGGCAGACTATACGTATGTAACAAACCTGCACGTTCTGCACATGTATCTGGAACTTAAAGCAAAATAAAATAAATTAAATAAAAAAAGAAAGTGCATGACTTACATGTACACATATGTTCATTGAAGCACTATTCACAATAGCAAAGACTTGGAATCAACCTAAATGCCCATCAATGGTAGACTGGATAAAGAAAATGTGGCACATATACACCATAGAATACTATACAGCCATAAAAAAGAATGAGATTACGTCCTTTGCAGGAACATGGATGGAGCTGGAGGCCATTATTCTTAGCAAACTAACACAGGAACAGAAAACTATATACCACATGTTCTCACTTATAAGTGGGAGCTAAATGATGAGAATACATGGACATGCAGAGGGGAACAACACACACTGGGGTCCACTTGAGGGTGGAGGGTGGGAGGAGGGAGAGGATCAGGAAAAATAGCTAATGGGAACTAAGACTTAATACTTGGGTGGGTACTAATGGGTATAGAAATAATTTGTGAAACAAAACCCCATGACACAAGTTTACCTATATAACAAACCTGCACATGTACCCCTTAACTAAAAATAAAAGTTAAATTTAAAAAAAAAAAAAAAGAAATTGCATGTCTGGAAAGAGCGTATGGTTGGGTTCCGTGTTTTTTTAAACCAAGTCACACAATCTCTGCCCTTCATTGGAGTGTTGATTCATATAGGTTTTTGTCATTATTGATATGATAAGTTTCATGTCTACCATGTTATTTTCCCGGTTTTTGTTTCTCTGTTCCTCTTGTCCTGATCAATGACTTTTTATTAGAAACCATAGAAACAAAAGAAAGTAGAATAACATCTTTAAAGTGCTGGAAGACAAAAAGATCAACTAAGAATTCTATATCCAGCATAGATGTCCTTCAAGGATAGGCAAATGAGATATTTCAGGTAAAAGAAAATTAAAAGAATTTGTCACCAGCAGATCTGTACAATTACAATTGGTAAAGAAAATTCTTCAGACTAGAGGCAAATGATACCAGGTGGAAAATGAGATTATCAAAAAAGATGAAGATGATCAAAAATGGTAAATATTGAGCTAAGTGCAAAAGGCTATCTTGCTCCCCTCATTTATTCTTACTTTATATACATAGAACTGTTTAAAGATAAGAAAAAGTTTTTTATCTTGGGACTTACAACCTATATAGATATATTACATATAATATCTATACCATAAAAGATGGACATTTTATAGAGGATAAATGGTTGCAATATTGCTATATTTATGGGCACTAGTACATTATTAACTGAAAGTAGTCTGTGAAATGTTAAGAATGAGTTAAGTTCTGAAGGAAATTGGGACACTAAAAACCATTCAAAAGATCGACAAGTCTCAGAGATGGTTTTTTGAAAACAAATCCTAGCCAGTCTTGAGTCTCATCATCCTACGATTTCAGAACTATCGTGAATATAAAAGTAATCAAAGAACAGTCCTGCCCAGAAAGAGGAGTTATCCCTAAATATGGTGTCCCTGGGACAGCTGGCCCTCCCTGCTGGACCTCTTCCACATGGATGCTTTCTGCAGTGACTTTGTTGTCTTGCTCTTCCACTCTACCCAGTGTCCTGACCCAAGAGACAAGGGGCGTCTGCTGCTGTGTCCACACTTGGAGAAGGAAATCTTGAAGGTGTCAGTACATTACAAGCTGGGCATGACAGCTCACTCCTGTAATCCCAGCAATTCAGGACGCTAAGGCAAGAGGATTGCTTGAGATCAGGAGTTGGAGACCAGCTTGAACAACATTGTGAGAACCTCGTCTCTAAAAGATATAAAAATAAGTAAACTTAGCTGGGCACGGTGGTGGGCACTTGTATTCCCAGGTATTGGGGAGGCTGAGATGGGAAGATCCCTTGGGCTTATGGATTCAAGTCTGTAGTGAGCTGTGATCGCATCACTGGACTCCAGCCCAGACCACAGAGTGGGATCTTGACTCAAACAACAACAACAACAACAAACATTGTAAACCTTTGCTCACCATGGGTTATTTTATTTATTATTTATTCAATGTGTATTTTGATTTTATTTTACTGGCAGCACAATAAACCAGGACCTGCTGAAACTAGAAATCACATCCACTTTCCAGTGTTAAAAAGCCCAGTCCAGGCAGGTGAGAAGGAGACAGTCCTCATTAGCGCTGAGGATTCAGGGAGAATGAGATGGGCTGGGCAGGAAGGTTTTTTTGTTTGTTTGTTTGTTTGTTTTCTATGAACAAGTGTGACTTTTTATTATGATAGAGTTGTTTTTATTAAAGGAATACATGAAAATGGTTAAGTAAAATCAAATGGCTCCAAAAGTCTTACAATGAAAACAACAGTCCTGCCAGTTGTTCTCTCGAGAGGCAAGCACTTTTCATTCTCTTAGTTTTTCCTCCTGGTAGTTACCTTCATGGGTTTTTCCAAATTATTATTTTTTTAGTTTTTCAAGTGGGTGCATATATTAATACATGTAATTTTAAAAAGCCTCTTCAGTTTATAATGCACCCTAACAGTCCCCTGCCCCATCCCTCCTAATTCTCCAGAGCAATGACTTTTAACTCTTTTAGCAATGTCTTCTATTTTTTTCTCACATAACTACTTAGTCATTTCTTGATTATTTTATACATTCTATAGTAATTTCTTGATATGACAGATGAGGATTTAGCTCTTACACCATCACTACCTTCACTTTTCCCCCCATATTGTCCCAAAGTAGTTACCAGATTTAGGGGCTAAGTAGTCACCACATCATTATGAGTATGTACATATTGCTCATTGTTGAGAAAAACAGAGTATTATGCTCTTGCTTCCTGTCTTGTGCTTCCTTCTGCCCTAGAATTAATGATTGCCTAACCACCCTTCCCCCTTGTTTTTTTTTTTTTTAACTTTTGCTTTATCTTCAATGAACTACTTTCCAAATGCCCCAAATCTGGCAATAACCTATTATTATTTTTAAGAGAAGGGAATCTTACTATGGTGGCCAGGCTGGTCTGGAAATCTTGGGCTCAAGCCAACCTCTTGCTTAGCCTCCTGAGTGGCTGGAACTACAGGCATGGGCCATTCTACCCAGCTAACCGATTAATATTTTTACTGTTTCTTTTTAAAGCCAGCTCCATAGCTGGAATATTTCCTGTGTTGGATCCTATTTGCTGGATCCATGTCATTCTCTGGTTTGTCTACTCCTTCATTTTGCTGGAGTATTTTCTCCAATAGTTTCCCAACAACAGATACATGGAGGTAACCCCTGAGTCTTTGCTTGCCTAAAAATGTATTATTTTACCTTCACCCTTGATTATTTGGCTGAATATAGATTTATTCGTTGAAAATAACTTTCTTTCTGGAATTCTGAAGGCATGGTTCCATTGTTTTCAGCTTCTTTTTCGAGACAAGGTCTCTTCTGTCACCCAGGCTGGAGTGCAGTGGCACAATCACAACTCACTGCAGCCTCGAACTCGCAGGCTCAATTGATCCTTCCATCTCAGCTCCCTGAGTAGATGGGACTACAGGTGTGTGCCACAATGCCCAGCTAACTTTTGTATTTTTTGTAGAGATGGGGCTTCACCATGTTGCCCAAGCTGATCTCAAGGTATCTGCCTGTCTCTGCCTCCCAAAATGCTGAGCCACTGTATTACAGGCATGAGCCACTGTGCCTGGCCAGTTTTTCTTTTATTCTCTCTCTACTTTCTTCATTTCTCAAAGGCATCTCAAACTCAGTGGGCCCAAACCCAGGGCAAACTCCATCAGAATATCCTGCTACTTCTGACTTTAAAATATATCTTAAATCACAGTTTCTTACTACATGCAACCCTTTGGTTCAAACTACCATCATCCCTCACTTGAACTTAGAATTGGTTTTCCTGCTTCTGTATTTTTTTAAAACATAAAATATTTCAAATAAACTATGCGTGGCTTTATACTTTTTACTACATAAAAAGAATAAAGATCTGGGGTGGCTCAAGCCTGTAATCCCAGCACTTTGGGAGGCCGAGGCGGGCGGATCACTTTAGGTCAGGAGTTCGAGACCAGCCTGACCAACATTGTGAAACCCTGTCTTCACCAAAAACACAAAATTAGCCGGGCGTCGTGGCACGTGCCTGTAGTCCCAGCTACATGGGAGCCTGAGGCAGGAGAATCATTTGAACCTGGGAAGTCAGAGGTTGCAGTGAGCTGAAGTTGCGCCATTGCACTCCGTCAGGGTAACAAGAGCGAAACTCTGTCAAAAAAAAAAAAAAAAGATATGAAGAGCTTATATACTTAAACATGAAATTGCTTTAAGTGTTTGCCATTCACCGTTCACATGCATGCCAGCAGCTTCTTACTGCAAACACCTGGGACTTGCTATAGAGCAGCTGGAGTACATTCTGCCCACACACAGGACAGGGAGCTGACAACCAAGGAGTGGGGGATCAATATGCCAGCTTTCTCCCCTCCGTTTCCCTGTATCTCAGCAGTATGGAGTTTGTTACCAGTGAGAACCTGCTCACTGGCTTTAAACTGGTTTTCTTACCTTCTCAGTTCCATTTCTCCGTACCTCAATTGATGATTTCTGGTAAGACCTAGAAAATAAACTGCTTTCACTGAAATTGCAGTCTTGGAACCTGCTTTGGGTTCCCCAAAAGACAGAAATATATTCATTTTCCCATCACTGGACTTCCAGGTTGTTTTCAATTTTTCACTGTTACAAACAAGGCTGCAACATTTGCATGCAAACCTCTGGGTATACACGTAAGGAGCTTTCGGTATTTCCCACTAGTGAAACTTCTCAGTTGGAGGGTATGTGCATCTTCATCTTTAAGAAATACTACCAACATTTGAAAAGCCCGACAATGTCAAGGACTGGCAAGAGTCCCATATGCGATGGGTGTGGAATGGCAGCTCACTGTAGCAGGTGCTGGGGACTCGGTCAGGGTCTTGGAGAGGCACTTAATTATAGCAAGAATATTTCATAAGTGGTATCTGATATAGTCAAGATTAGTGGGGAGTAAAAACATGTTGCTTAGAAATAATTATCCAAAGATCTAAAGTCAACAAAAGTCTTTTTTTCTAATGTAAAAATATAAACTTTTTTTTCAGAGGGAGGGGGAACAACTTAAAATAAACCAGAAAACACCTTCATATTAATCATTCTTCTCATATACTTGAAATTTGTACTTAATACATCCGAGAGAACGCCTGGATATTCTGGCAGAATTTTATATTTCTCCAAATCAATTTCTGGAAAAAACGTGTCACTTTCAAAGTCCTGCATGATCCTTGTCACAAATAGTTTAAGATGGCCTGGGCGACTCATGGCTTCCTTATAAACAGAACTGCCACCAACTATCCAAATCATGTCTACTCTATTTGCTAATTCTGGTTGTTAAGTAAGTTTTAAGATCTCATCCAGACTTCTGGCAAGAAAATGAGCTCGTTGTGGAGGTTCCTTGAGTTCTCTGCTGAGAACTAAATTAATTCTATCCTTTGAAAGTCGATTCTTCCCAGGAATGGAGAACCAGGTCTTCCTACACAAAATCACCAGATTCTGTTTACCTTCTACTGAAGAGATTGTGTCATTCTCTGGAAATACCTAAATTCATTCCTGAGCGGCGGCCAGGGCAGGTCCCCGTTCTTGCCGATGCCCATGTTCTGAGACACAGCGACGATGCAGTTTAGCAAACGAACCATGACAGCAGCGGTGAGCTCCTCCAAGCCCGCTCGCTACACCAGGACGCGCGGCCAAGATTGGCCGGAAGGTTTTTACTTGGAAACTGGAGGATGAGCCATGACATCCCTCTCTCCACCTCAAAGCTCGTCCTGGGCATCCACCTCCTGGGAGCAGAAGCAGCGCAGCAGCGCCACCTGGTGGTCGATGCGCTTCCTTTGCAGATCACGCACAGCCCTGAGATCCACCTCTCCTTCCTACGCACCACGCATTTCTTCACTGGACACCAGCCCGCGTCAATCTTCCTGTAAAGCAAAAGAAGCGTGAGGTTGGTGGGGGAGGAATGGTGTTATCTCCACCTTTGGCGAGATCCATGTCACCGTGTTCAGGGGAAGGGCCAGGCCTTACTCCCCATGCAGAGAGGAGGCTCTGGCCGTGAAGGCGCCTGTGGAGAGGTGAGGACCCGCTCCCTCTACACTGATGGCCAAGAGCCTGCAGATGGCGGGGAAGGCTTCCCTTCAGCTGTGTCCTATCAGGTTCTTCCAGGAGTCCAGGAGTAGACCTGCATATTGCCTCTGGTGATGTGAGCTGCATGCACACCTAGAAGTGAGGTCACCCCTTCTGGGGGTCCTGGGGCTGCTGGTTGTCCTGGGTGCTCAGAGGGAAGACGGGGAGGGCGCTTCGTGCAAAACAGTAACTATACTCTATAAATTATTTTTTCATTAGCCTTTGTGTCATAAAATAAAATCTAGGACTCCAAAAGGAAAAAAAGAAGGTCTAAAATTTGTGTCCTTTAATAAACAGTAAACACCCATTAACCACCAAGGATAGACGTTTGCGGAGCAAACCAGAAGCCCCATCATTTGCCCCAGCTCAGCAATAAACTCTTTCCTCCCCCAAATAAAAATACATCCTGACTTTTCCGATCATAACTTCTTTGTTCTATTTTATATTTTTATCATCCAAAACTATGATTTAGTTTTACCTTTAGAAACATGCTTTTGTTCTCTTTTATTCTATAGATTCTTTCTTGAAATTTATATTGTGTGGTAGAGCTTCCCATAGTGTGCATTTTGCTGATTGCTCCCCAAGCCATTGTTTGAATATGTGTTTTTATTATCTGTATTGCCTCTAAATTGGTAATTGGCTATGGAGGTTAGCTTCTATTCAGGCTTGATTTCTTTCTCACTTGTATTTGTTTGATGGTGCTGTATTGTGTTCTTCCATCAAGAGGAAGAACCTCACATTAGTTTTTTTTATTGTGTTGTTAATCGCTATTGCTGTTCAATGGTTAAATCTGTTAATTCTTGATGGGTTGCAAAAGAGTTATTATAGTCTCAGTCTCTCATTCCTTCCTCATTTATTATCTGAATAATTTCTAAGTAAGAGATTCACCCTCCTGTACTGTTTGTTTACTACTAGAAACTTGCTTTTTGAGAGACTAAGCCAAGCATCTACTCACCTATGACCCAGCAATAGCAGTCTTAGTTATCAACCAATAGAAATGCATGTATGTGTGTGCCAAAATATATGAAAATATTATTCATAGCATCACGATTTGTAAAATCTGGATATAACACAATTGTCTATCAACAGCGAAGGGACAAGAAATGTGAGTTATTTATAAAGTGGAGCATTGGACAGCCATGGGAGTGAATAGGCTATGACCACACACAGCAGGATGATGAGACCCAGGGGCATGATGGTGACTGTATAATGCCATTCAACTGGAACTGGCAGAACTTATCTGTGTTAGAAATCAGGAGTGGCTACTCTAGGGTTGGGGAGGGTGGTTTGTGACTGAGTAAGATCCAGTGATGTTTCTGGGAGGCTGTGATTGGTGTACTTTGATGTGGGTGTTGTTTACCTGAGTGTTCACTATGTGAAACTCCACTGCCCACTTGTGGATTGTCCTTCTTTCTCCACGCATGCTGTCCTTCACTCAAATATATTTTGCTGATGTTTTGAAGCAATTCTATCTACGCTAAGAAGAATCACTCCTACTGCACATCCTTGGAAATGCTGGATTGAAAAAATTAGTGCAATTGTTTTTAATTCCAGGAAACAAATACATATAAAGAGGAAAATCTACAACAAGAGCAGTAGGTTTGGGAGCTGACACCAGAACAGCTTTGGAAATGGCTCTCGAGCCAGGAACTGGGGATCAAACCCAAACAAACCCATAGGAGGTGGGGGGTGTGAAATGATGTCCAATAGTGCATGAATGAACGAGTCATGAGCAGTGGCTCATGGCTTGGCTGGCCAGTCACAAACTTGAGGAAAATAGAGTTGGAAAACTGGGAGGTAGAGGAGAGAGGTACGCATAGACCTCTTGCTATAGGCCGAGTGTGTGACAATAGTGGTTGTGTGTGGATGCCTACCAGAGGGTCTTTAAGGGGATGGGGCTCCCTGTAACCAGGTGGGTGAGATGGCTTGATGGACGATGCCACTCAGCCACACAGGCCTTGCTCATGGAGTCCCTGCATAAAGTGGCCGTGGTGGCTGCGATGGACACTGCAAGGGCACAGCAATTGCGTCGCCACTCACCAAGGCTGACCTGGCAGCTGCCACTGCTGAGGGCCCAGCCCACCAAAAGCAGCTGTTTTTTTGACGGAGAAATAAAACAGGCAATGGTAATTAAGAATAAAATAACATTATGATAGATAAATATGCCACTAAAGATATAGTAGAGGTTTAAATAATTTTGAGACTATGAACAAGATTATGGCAATGGGGAGAACTTACTACAAGTAAAGAAGTTAAAACAGTTGTAAAACTTTAGACTGTTTTACACATAAGTTCTACCAAAACTTTGAAGAAGGTTACTGAACTTATACGTAATATTCAAGAGAATGAGGAAACATAGAGAAAGCCAGTAAACTCATTATTGTTTATGTATAAATAACATTGATTCTAAAGCCAGCTAGGGAATACATAAGAGAAAAGCATGATAAGATAATCATTTCTAAGCAATTAGAGGTAAAAATACTGAGAAAAATAGTACTAGATTGTGTCCACCAGTGAACTATAAAAAAATTAAATATCCTGCCCAGGTTATTCATCCCCAGAATACAAGAATATTTAAACTTTAAATCTGTAATGCATTTTACCACTTAATTAAAGAATAAAAGACAGAGATAATGATGTTTTATTAGATGCAGAAATTACTGCAGATGAAACTCAACACTCCATCTCACCCACGTTTCTTCAGTTATCTCCACTTCTAAGAACTTGTGATCAGTACTCGCTTTGGCAGCACATATATTAAAATAGGAATGATACAGAGAAGATCAGCACGGCCCCTGCACAAGGGTGACATGCAAATTCATGAAGCATTCCATATTTTTAAACTCTCAATAAACTAGGTATTGAAGGAACATACCTCAAAATAATAAAAGTCATCTATGACAAACCCACAACCAGTATCATACTGAATGCGCAAAAGCTGGAAGCATTCCCCTTTAACACCAGCACAAGGCAAGGATGCCCTCTCTCACCATTCCTGTTCAACACAGTATTGGAAGTTCTGGCCAGGACAATCAGGTAAGAGAAAGAAAGGATATTCAAATAGGAAGAGAGGAAGTCAAATTGTCTTTGTTTGCAAGTGACATGATCCTATATCTAGAAAACCCCATTGTTTCGGCTGAAAAGCTTCTTAAGCTGAAAAGCAACTTCAGTTAAGTCTCAGGATACAAAATCAGTGTGCAGAAGCCACAAGCATTCCTATACACCAACAATAGACAAGCAGAGAGTCAAATCGTGAATAAACTTCTATTCACAATTGCTACAAACAGAATAAGATGCCTAGGAATACAGCTCACAAGGGAATTGAAGGATCTCTTCAAGGAGAACTACAAACCGCTTCTTAAGTAACTCAGAGAGGACACAGACAAATGGAAAAACACTCCATGCTCAGGGATAGAAAGAATCAATATTGTGAAAATGGTCATACTGCCCAAAGTAATTTATAGATTCAATGCTATTCTCATTCAACTACCATTGACATTTCTCACAGAATTAGAAGAAACTATTTTAAAATTCATATAGATGATTGACATTAAAGGTAAAATTAAAATTAATATATAAAATAAAACTCAAAGTTTTCAAGCCATTTGGAGCTTGTCTTGAGCTAATGAGATTAAGCTCATGTCCTCAAGAAAAATGTTTTACTCTGCTGTTTTTAAGTGTGCTTCTATGGAAAGAGTTTGAGAATCATTGATATGGATTATAGAAAATCAGGCTTCATTTAAAAATAAATGTATTTAATCTTAAAAATAGCTTTACTTAAAATGTTTATTGTTGCAGACAAGAAATCTTATTTGAAAAATCAGAAATTGGACATGTCAGTGATTATAGGTTTTTTTTTTTAAATCTGAACATGAAAAAGTTTTCCCCAGTTTTAAGATAATTTACCATGCTATTCAAGTCAGCCTAAAATTTTAAAAAGCTACTACATAATAAGGTAGGGGTTGAAAAAAGAAATATTTCAGATTCAGAGAATTGTCTTTTTTTAGTACTAACTAAAACATTTAAAAAACTACATTTAATGATGTCATTCTAAATTGGCTCAGTAATATTAAATGAGGAATTTATGTTCCAGCAAACAGTGGATGAATGTGTCTATGGAGAGCATTGTTTCAAAATGTTTTAACAAATATATCATTGAAGTTCTTGCTATTTTATTCAATTTCAGCCACTATTCTTTTTAGTTGATTTTTTTGTCAATCTTAAATTTTCAAAAGAAAGATTGTTTTCAAATTATTTTATATTTAATGAATAAAGTTATACATTACTGATTATTTAAATTGAAAAAAAATTAAAATAAAAATAAAATTCATACAGAACCAAAAAGAACTTGTATAGCCAAGACAATCCTAAGCAGAAAGAACAAAGCTGGAGGCATCATGCTACTTGACTTCAAACTATACTACAAGGCTACAGTAACCAAAACAGCATGGTACTGATACAAAAACAGACACATAGACCAATGGAATAGAATAGAGAACTCAGAAATAAGACCACACATCTACAACTATGAGACTTCAGTGACCACATACAATAAAGAATACAGTCTATACAAAAATAGTTTAGAAAATGTAATTTTCACAGTTACCACATTATAATATTGAAAATGTCTAGTTTTCAACTTCAAAAAACATGAGTTATGCATGTATGAAAGTATGACTCATTCACAGGAAAAGCAATAGAAAGAAATTGTTCCTGAAGAACAATGGACTGACTTACTAGACAAAGACTTTGAATCAACTGTCTTAAACATAGTCAAAGAGCTAAAGGAAACCATGGACAAATAACTAAAGAAAATCAGGAGGACTATGTTTCACTAAATAGCAGAAATCAATAAATAATTGTGAAAAGGAAGCAAATGGAAATCTGGAGCTGAAATGTACGGGAAGCAAAATGGAAAATTGACTGGAGGGCTTCAAGAGCAGATTTTAGTTTGCAGAATGAAGAATCAGTAAACGCAAACATAGGCCAATTGAATTTGCCCATTTGAGGAGCAGAAGGGAAAAAGTATGAAGAAAAAAGAACAAAAGAGATCTAAGAGACAACATCAAGTATATGCATTTTGGGAGTTCCCAAAAGAGAGAAGGAAGAAGGGGGGAGAAAGAGTATTTGAAGAAATAATGACCCCAAACTTCCGAAATTTTTTTGAAAACATGAATCTGGGTATCCAAAACACTCAAACATTTAAAGTAGCAGTAATTCAAAGATGTCCACACTGACAGACATTATATTGAAACTGTTGAAAGTCAAAGACAAACAGAGCATCTTGAAAACAACAAGAGAAGGGACTCATTGAGTGCAAGGATCCTCCATGAGATTAACTGCCAAGTGTTCTTCAGAAACCATGGAGTTCAGAAGACATTGGCATGACAAACTTAAAGTTCAGAAAGAAAAAAAAAACCTGTCTCAACTGACAGTTGCATATTTGGCAAAACTCTCCATGAGAAATAATGGAGAAATTCAGACATGCACAGGTAAATAAAAGCTGATGGCATTCGTGTCTGGTAAACCTATTCTACAATTAATGCTAAAAGGAGTGCTTCACACTGAAATAAAAGGACATTAGATGGCAACTCGAAGTCATATGAAGCAAAGAAGTACACAGCTAAAAGTAACTTCATAGGTAAATAGAAAAGCAAGTATTTTTTGGGGGGTGGTAATTTGTAACTCCTCTTTTGTTTTCTCTATTTAATTTAAAAGAAAATGCCCATCAACCGATGAGTGGATAAACAACATGTAATCTATTCTGCAATGGAATATTATTTGACCACAAAAGGAATAATGTACTGATACATGCTACAACTTGGATGAACCTTGAAAACATGTCAAATGAAAGAAGCCAGTCACAAAAGGCCATATATTGTATGACTCCATTTTAATAAAATATTCAGAAGAAGAAAATCTAGAGAGACAGAAACTGGGTTAATGGTGCCAGGGGCTGGTGGCAGGGGAGAGTGGAAGGTGACTGCTTAACGGGTACAGAGTTTCCTTCTAGGGTGGTGAAAATGCTCTGGAACTTGATAGTGATGATGGCTGCATAACGTTGTGCACCTACTAAATGTTACTGCTTTGTACACTTAAATGGTCACAATGGCAAATTTTGTGTTTACGTGCATTTTATCACAACTAAAAAGAGGCTGGCAAATATATTCCAAGTTTGCTTGGGAATCTGCCCATCTGTCTTTTCTCCTCAGGATTTCATCTCTTATTCAGAGCTCACCCTTGCTCTTCTGCAAGTAGAAAGCCTCCTTTCATGCAGGGACCAGCCCCACAGGGTCGGTGGGTCTCTCCCTGTGTGCGGTGATGAGAGAGTGTAGAAATAAAGACACAAGACAAAGAGATAAAAGAAAAGACAGCTGGGCCAGGGGACCACTACCACAAACGCACGGAGACCAATAGTGGCCCCGAATGTCTGGCTGCTCTGTTATTTATTGGATACAAAGCAAAAGGGGCAGGGTAAAGAGTGTGAGTCATCTCCAGTGATAGGTAAGGTCACATGGGTCATGTGTCCACTGGACAGGGGGCCCTTCCCTGCCTGGCAGCCAAGGCAGAGAGAGAGAGGAGACAAAGAGAAAGACAGCTTACGCCATTATTTCTGCATATCAGAGACTTTTAGTACTTTCACTAATTGACTACTGCTATCTAGAAGGCAGAGCCAGGTGTACAGGATGGAACATGAAGGCAGACTAGGAGCATGACCACTGAAGCACAGCATCACAGGGAGACGGTTAGGCCTCCGGATAGCTGCGGGCAAGCCTGACTGATGTCAGGCCCTCCACAAGAGGTGGAGGAGCAGAGTCTTCTCTAAACTCTAAGTGTGCTAAGTAGTGGGTGTTTTTCCTTGACACTTTTCACTACCACTAGACCATGGTCTGCCTGGCAACGGGCGTCTTCCCAGACGCTGGCGTCACCGCTAGACCAAGGAGCGCTCTGGTGGCCCTGTCCGGGCATAACAGAAGGCTCGCACTCTTGTCTTCTGGTCACAACTCACTATGTCCCCTCATCTCCTATCGCTCTATAGCCTGGTTTTTCTTAGGTTATGATTATAGAGTGAGGATTATTATAATATTGGAATAAAGAGTAATTGCTACCAACTAATGATTAATGATATTCATATATAATCATATCTAAGTTCTATATCTGGTACAACTATTCTTGTTTTATATTTTATTATACTGGAACAGCTCGTGTCCTCAGTCTCTTGCCTCGGCACCTGGGTGGCTTGCCGCCCACACTTTCAGAACACGGTCCAAGATCAGCCAGGTCCAAACCCCAAAATGACTTTCTGTCTTGCTTCCAAATGCTCAGATGCAACTCTGGGGCTAACTTCAGGGGAAGTTAGGAGATTATCCAAATAAGATGGTTCACTGGGAGAAAGAATGTTTGGCTTTAATGTTAGGGAAGTTATGTTTGCATTTCTAAAAAGGATCCTGCTCACCAGTGAATATATGGTTTTTGTCTGTGCAGGATGGAGTTCTCAGCAGAGGAATGAAAGACAGCCCTAGGAACATGATACACCTCATGGGTAGCTGACTGACCCACCCATCTACCACCCCCAGCTGAAGGAAGCAGCTAGACTGTACCCTTCACCCATCCTTCAGTTGTATTCCACTGGACGTGGACCCTCTACAAGTGTGGACATTCCTGGATCTCAGTTGCTCTTCCTGCTGTTGAGGAGTCTCCACTGGTGTGGCTCATGCCTAGATGGGCTCTGCAGGAGGCTTAGTGTCTCCCAGTTCTCAAGGCTAATATTCAGTGAACCCAGACCAAGCCTCAAAGTACACAGGGGCTCAGATTTTCATCTATGAAATGGAAGAATCCATCTCCCTCTTTCAGGTGTTGTGGTAATTATATATATATATGTAGACACACACATTTATACATGAACACATACATGACAATCCGTAATCTATATATTGATGGTGTTCTTAGTGTTGCCTTTATTGCTCAGCTGAACTCTATAACCAAAAATTGGATCATGGATTGTGAAGGAAGAACTCATTTCTTTTCTCTGGTGGAGCACTCGGTAGACATTTCTGCCCTTTGGGTTCAAATGAGAAAGTAGCTTTAGCCTGAGGGAGAAAGAAGATTATGACTATTACTAGTATTATAATAGAGATAAGGTCTTGCTATGTTGCCCAGGCTGGAGTGCAGTGACTATTCACAGCTGTGATCATAGTGGACTACGTCCTTGAACTTCTGGGCTCCAGCAATGTTCCAGCCTCGGCCTCCTGAGTAGCTGGGACTACAGGTGCATGCCACCATGTCTGGCCTCATTTCATTGTTATTTTACTTCAAATGCTTTATTTTAAATGTTAAAATATATGTTTTTATATTCAAAAGTGAAACCCTATTTGATCACAGAAGACGTTAAAATGCACAGACAGTTAGAAACATCACCTAGGCCTTTCTTTAAAAAATCACTGCTATTATATTGTTGAACCTTTGTAGACTGCAGTGCAAATGGTGGTCCCTGGAGCTGTCTTGTGCAGTGGTGCTGATTTTCATTTCGTTATTTTCTATGTATGTATTTTTATATATGCTGTCATTTTACAAAGTTGCATTCATATGTTAAGGGTTATCTTGGATGTTGCTTTTGGAATGTATTATTATACAAGTAGTTTTCCATGTTATAAGCTCTGCATAAAGTTTATACACTTTTACAAGCCATATCTCATTTCAGATAAGAAGATGTAACCCAACTTCTTTTTTTGGATCCGTCTGCCTTCATTTCGTCTTGTTGTAAATAATGTTTTGACAAGCATCTTTATATAGAAAGATTCTTCTATGTTTGGAATTTTAGAAAATTCATAGAATACTTAGAATACTCAAGTGATAAACATTAGGACACAGACTTTTAAACATTTTTAATTATTTTCATCACATTGTCACATTGGTTCTCTAAATCGTCATACTGACATATTCCACCTCACCTTTCAGGACATGCTAGGACTCAAGGCTATTTACGCATCTGGAATCACAGAGGGGTGTTGGGGGTGAATGTTGAGTGGAATCACAGGGTCTTGAGGGCAACTCCCTCAGAGAAGACCATTACCTTTTCGTTAGGGAAAGCTGGATTAACCTCGCCAAATGTGGTTGAATGAAACTGGCAAATAATTCTCAGAGGAATTTAGGAGTTCAGTGTCTTTAGCTTCATCAGGATCTGCCCAGATGTCCCCATTCTGATTTTCAGTATCGCATTTATTCCCAATCAATGCCTTCACTTAAATAACAGATATTCTTTAAGTTTGGGATTTGTTTTGTGTTGTAATTTAGCTACGCACAGAATGAGACGCTGCGTTTATTTTTCAGAAATTTCAGCCCTGCAGCTACAGGAGATTAGGATTTCATTCAAAGGAAACATAGAAACTTTTAGGTGATTTATGTGACTCATGAGCTGGAAGTTTGCAGCCCTGAGTTCATCTTTTTCTTTCCCCATTTTGTCCAGCACAATTGGCAAAAATTAACTAATCACCTTACAATAGCTAGTTTAACAAAGTCTTCTAAGGTCTCAAATACATAGTCACCCAGATCTTATAAGTATTTGATTAGGTCTATCCAATGGTGATATTCTGAGTATTCACACTCTCTGTACTAATGGAAATAGAGTCATTTGTGCCTTTAAATCCAAATAGATTAGAGAAACAATTCAAGAAACCCCCCCCCACCACCAAATTCAGTGCATTCATTCTTAAAATTCTGTTCCAGTGTCCCTATGCCCCAGTAAGCTAGGCTGGGCATGGTCTGAGGCTTGGTGGGCCAAGGACAGCTGGCTCAGCTGGGGTGCACTATGCACTGGTGGGTCAGCAGCCCAGAATGGTGCTGGATTTATGGGCACCAAGCCTATTCGGGAGTTGCACACACTGAGTCGGGCTCCAGTGGCCCCTAGGCTTCTAAGGGGCACTCTCCTCCTGCTAGTGCCAAGCTAAGCTGTGGGGAGCAGCATGCCTCTGCATGCTGCCTGACAAACTGCAGCCCCAGCCCCTGCCACAGACACCCTGGCCTGTACCCTAGTGCTTTGTATGGCTGTGGCTATTCAGCCGCTACTTCTGATCCCCTAGGACTGGGAGCAGCCTGCCTGGGGGAGACCATCAGGATGTCTATGGAAGGCTGCTTCATGCTACAAGGGCAGAGTTAAGTCTTTGGTATAGAGACTGGTTGGCAAAGTTGAAAATGTTGCCTCAGGTCCTTTTGGGGATTATTTACCAGCCCCTGGTTTGAGTGTTGTCTGGCAGGACCCAGGCTCTGGGAGCTGATCCTCCCTCACTCAAGGCCTGCTGCAGCCTCCCGCTGAGGTCTTGAAACCATCAGGAGCAGTTGTTCTTTGGCCTCCGGGACACCGCAGGGCTGAGTTGCTCCCTGCCTGGAGGTGGTCCCATGGGGCCCACTGTCTGGGTCAAGAATGGTGCAGAGCTGGTGTCCTCAAAATGCATCCTGGTGGAGCCCCAGCAGCTGCAGGTGCTGACTGCCTCTCACGAGGACCCTGGGGGCCTGCAGCTGCAGCGACTCACCCAGCATGAGCGGTGCCACTCAGTGTGCACATGACAGATGCTCCATCCTCAGGAGATGACAAAGACGTGGAGGACAAGGCTGAAGACACAAGTGCATAATCTCCTACTCACCTCATCTGGCACATTAGAAACCTGTCCTCGGCTCATGCACAAATCCACCTCTGGGTGGCCAAAGGCTCCAGCTTACTACAGAGGCCATGTGTACTCTGTGTAATCAACACACCCCAGCTTCTTCCCACCTCCAGTCATCTCACTGTATCTGACATGATGCCAGCAGATTGTCTCAGCTCAAATTCCAGCTCCATTACTTACTGCTGTGTGACCTTGACCAAGTCACTTAACCTCTCTGTGCTTCACGAGCTTCCATTGTAAATGCGTGTGTTTACATATGCCAAGTACCCAGAAAGATGCCTGGAACATGGCAACACCCACCACAGAAGTAGTAGCTGCAATTATTGCCTCATTAAAACAGTGGAGATGTCACCCATCAGGGCTAGAGAGAATTTGGGAAATCCTGATCTGCTTCTGGTTTCAGGTGGGGAAACCTGTAGGACCAGCAGGAACACGGCTGCCTCAGTGCAGCTGGCACAGGGCACTGCCAGCCCAGAGCAACTCAGAGCTCAGAACACTCTGGGGTCCGAAGTCCGAACTGCTGGGGCTCAACTGTGGCGTCAGTTATGGAATGTGGACCCCTCCCTAGGGAGTCTCCCGGGCTCAAAGTCTTCCCTCAACTCCAGAAATTCAAACCCAACACTGACCTCACGGAGAAGTTCTGAAGGTTAAGGAGGAGACACGTGAAAAGTGCCTGGTGGACACCAGGGATGCCAGTGAGATGGGGGACAATGGTGAGGCAGAGTGGAGGGGCAGGTGCCCCCTCCTCAGTATGTCTCCCCCAGGTACTGTGAGGACAGGTGGAGGCTGTCTCCAGGCTCTCACCCGGCCACACACCAGCACGTCTCCAGGTTCCTCTCAGCCCCGGTTACCCCCAGCCCTGCAGTTAATCCCTGAGCTGGGAAGGAGCCCTTGAATCCACCCTGTCCTGTGTCACAGTGTCGTCCACTCGGGCTCACATTGCCACTAGGCCACTTGGCAGCCAAGGGATGGGGCCACGTTTTGTACTTCCTGAAACATGGCTTCACCTTCAAGTGCGGGTGATGACAGTGCCACACAGAACAAATGTTACTGTCTATCCTCATCGACCGTAATTTTCCAGTTTTCCAACCCTCAGGGAGCAAGGAAGAGCATGGCTTCCACCAAAGGGCGTGAGGTCAGCAGTCTTAGGGGCAACCAACAGGCAAAGACCCCTGAAAATAGACCCCGCAGGGAAGCACAAGTATTCACTGACGGTGGGAACCCCACAGATCTGGCCGTCTTCAAGCACATCAGAGAGATTGCCATGAGGAGCAACTTAGCCAGAAAGACTTATTTGCCTCCTCAAAAAGCGTAAAATTATGTAACATAATACTTTAAAAATTTCTATCAACACAAAACTAATCTGGGCGCTGTGGCTTCTGGTGAGCCACTGGGACAGACGGCATCGTCAGGAAGGCTGGCTCTGTGGTGCCTCAACCTGCCAGAGCCCAGGATGGTGGTGGCCTCCCCAGAAGCACCTGGCAACTCACCTGCACAGGGCCAGGGTCCCAGCTCCCCACACCCCAGCCACCACACCTTCTTCTGCTTTTTTTTTTTCCCATTATTGTTTCTTTCTTTCTTTTTCTTTCTTTCCTTTTTTTTTTTTTTTTTTTTTTTTTTTTTTTTTTGTCAAATCTCAAGGAAAAATACGTAGTTGCCAGAGGGTGGAAGGTCCTGTTCATTCACATTGAAAAGCTCGGGTATTTCTATTAGAATCACATGTTTTACTTTAGGATGCTGACGCCTGTGTCCATCTCAACCTGGGCATTGTGCTGCCACCTTCCAGAAGAGAAAAACTAGGTAGTGCCTTGTGAAGGGGCAGCGTTTCTCATTTCTGACAACGTCAGTCCCACAGCCACCCAGATGAGTAGATGGGGGACACAGGGGAGGACCCAGACCTGCTCTCCTCCCACAGCACATTCTTGAGTCTTGGAAAGAGTTGTGAAAATGCCACAGGTACAAACACCTGCAGGCCACTCCCACAGGGACAGCTCCGTGAGGCGGTGCCGCTCATTCCCACAACCTCCTGCCACAGGCAACACTTAACACTTAGACAGTGACCCAAGGCCGACCAGGGAGGACGCCAGCCAGGATGTGTCATCCTCAGCTCTTCAGGACATGATGCCAGCAGGGGCAAAGTTATCCCTAGCAACAAGACAGAGGAAGAAAGGATAACAGAAGAAAGGACAATGTCACAGTAGCCCCCATGACCAACAGAGACGGTTCCAGAAGTGCAGGACAACTCTATATGCAGATGCTGTTGCTGTGCGATTACACTCCAAGAGGGGAGTCCAGCTGGCTCTCAGGGTGCTCGCTGCCCTCAGCTGGGGGCCTGCAGGACATCAAGTCCTGAGAATGCCAGGTTCTAGTGGAGTAGGATGAACTGACAGATACACAGCAAAGCTCCACATACTTTTCCTTTTCTTTGTGCCTGCAAAGTTCTTCTTCAGTGTCTCTCTCTTTTCAGCTACTACTGCTGGTTGGTTTAAAAAAACAGGACAATAGTAAAAATTAGAGACAAGTGTTTGGCCATAAAGAGAAACACTGGCTACCTCCCGTATTTTCAAGCGTGGGTGATGGTTGTAGTTTTCCATCTCACCTTGTAGGGGATGAATCCAGAAAAAGCTTCTGTTACAAATCAAAATGGACATGCCAGAAGTATTAGCTCAAATCAACCTTGTCCTGTCTAACCACTCAGTGACCCAAAATACCACTTGGACTATTAATCTCAGGGGCCAGAGAATGGAGCTGGAGAAGGAGTTGTTAGATCGGGGACAAATAACCATGTTATAGTGGCAATAGGAAATGGAAGACCATTTGCTCATAACCACTGAATCACAGCAAGGTGTATAAACACACATCATTGACTGATAGTTTCAGTTCTATGCCCAAGAAAATCATCGATGGAGTGAAGTAATTGAACTATCACAGAAGATACATTTGTATTTTTTCTTTTTTCAACTTTTAGTTTCAGGGGGTGTGTATATATATAATATTTGTGTATATAAAATAATATATATATTATTAAAGAAAGCCTTTGTACAGTTTGCTGGAGCCACAGAAGCACCACTCCAGAGCAGAGCAATGCCTTAAATCTTCAGTGTTCATTTGTAGAACATTCACTAGCAGCTACAAAAGTGACTTAATTTTCTTCTGGAAATAATGCTTGCCTGTTGTGAGATGTTGGAATATATATGAACCATCATTACATGTTAACATGCCATAAGGAGTTTTTGATACCTGATTCACATTATTAGAGTTGCTTCTTAGTATCCATGTGAATTTTCACTCCAAAACACAAGCCAGAAGCTTGAGTGAAGGACACCTAGGGCAAATGGTGGCTGAAAGTGAGGAAGATCCAAATTACTGTTGCTTGTACTGTATTAGGAAAAGAAAACAATTCTTCTCTTCTTTGCCAATTAAATTCTTAATTGCTAATTTATAATTATGCTTATATACATTTCAACATTTTAATAAAGTATTTTTTATGGTTAGCTATAAAATTTTTAAAAAGATTCTGTTCCTCTAGAACCACTCTTCGTACCACAGTCTCTATCAGTCCAGATTCTTCAGAGAAGCAGAATCAATAGGGTGTGTGTGTGTGTGTGTGTGTGTGTGTGTGTGTGTGTGTGTGTGTATTTGTATTTGTATTCATATTATGATATTTATTCATGTGATTATTAGGGCGGTAAGTATGAAAATCTGCAGGATAAGCTAGCAGGCTGAAAACGCAGAAAGAAGATGTTCTAATTCTGAGGCAGGATTTCTTCTTCTCTGGGAAACCTCAGTTTCTGCTCTCAGAGTCTTCTACTGATCGGGTGAAGCCCATCCACATTATTGATGGTAATTTTCTTTTTGTAAAGTCAGCTAATTCAGCATGGGGAAGGGGGTCATGGTAGACATGGGGGAGGGCTGGTCTCTCCACCTTCTCACATTAGGCTAACAGGGACGCAGACACATTCAGATGCCTTTGCAGAAAGAGACACCAGAGGCTCTTGAAGTCACAAAGGGGAGGCATGAAGAAATACTGCATCTCAGTCCCTCACAAGACAGCTGCCTCAGGCTACAGAAAACAATAGTCATGAACAAATTCAGGTCAGTGGCCATAAAGCGTAACACTCTGAACTCCCCACTACACACTCAAAGTGTCCCAAAGAATCACCGTAATCCAGTCTTGTCCCCTGTACCCCATCCCCCTTCCACATAAGGCCCTCCAGGACGCCACCTTTACAAGCTGTGAGAGACACATCACAGCCCTGGTCACTGTCACTGCCTGGGGTAGAACAAAAACAGGACCTGGTCAGAGCCTGCAGGAGATGTGGGAGAGGAGGAATTATGGCATAGGTGAGCTCCTCCACATCCGTCTCCCATAGTTACACACAGCCTGAGCACCTCCTTCTCTGCCTCTGGGAAGAAATCATCCTGTGAGGGGCTAGGGAGGAGACAGGGCCATGAGGTCCTAGAGGAACCCCCTAGTCTTGGACCCCAGAGAAGTTTCCAAAACTGTGACTGCAGACCCAGGGCAGGAAACATGAGGAAAGCAGGTGTGAGGACTGAACCAACTGCACGGTATGTAAAGACATACTTGGTACATAGTAGATACAAAGTTAGCTTTGGTCTTTGGTGAATTCATGAATATGATTGTATTAAAATGTAATTGCATTGCATAAAAATTATAAAATGAAGAATACCAAAAAATTAGGAAAGATTTTACCTTATACAAGGAGTGTACATTTCAATTCACTAGTTTATTCCAATAGAGAAAATGTTATATGCTTATCTGTTGGCCTATGTATGAATTTTCTGTTACTGCATAACATATTACCACTAACTCACTGGCTCTACACAGCACCCATTTATTTCTCTACATTTCCTTAATGAGAAATCCAGGCCTGGTGTGAATGATTCTCAGTTCAGGATTTCACGAAGCTGTGTCCTCATCTTGAGGCTGGGGTCCTCCTTCAAGCTTATACAGAGCTTGGTGGCAGAATTCAGTTTCAGGCAGTTGTGAGATTGTAGTCCTTGTTCCTGGGCAGCTGTCAGGTGGAGGTGGGGTGGAGCTGCTCTCAATTCCTGGAGCCCGCCATATCCTTTGCCACATGGCCCCTTCATTTTCAAAGCTCACAGCGGAGGAAGCCCCTCACGTTGAATCTCGCTCACACTGTGAATCTCTTTGCTGAAGAAGAAATAAGTTGTTTTAAGAGCTCACCTGATTAGGACAGTCCAAGGCAGGATAATCATGGCCTTAAAGTCAACTGATTTGGGACCTTGCTTATATCTGCAGAATCCCTTCACAGCGGCACCTACAGTAGTGTTGATTGAGTAACTGGGGAAGGTGAATCACCAGGGGTGGTTATGTGGGGGCCATCACTGAATCATCCTCGCATAGCCAGGATCTTCCTTTTCTGTTTAATTGGGTCACAGTAGGAAACTGAAGTTCAAATAAATAGATTGTTGTGAATGTTAATAAAATACATCCTATTGATACATGGAAATACTGAAATCTTAAAACCAAATAACACTGAATATCTTTTAGTTAATTTAGAGTAAATAAAAATTAAAGTGTAGTAATTCATTCTCTCTTTTGAAGCGCTATTGTCTATTGTTGTATAATAAATAACATAAAGTTTGACAACCCAAAACAACAAATTCTTATCATCTCCCACAGTTTCCAGTGGTCAGGAATCTGGGAGAGATTTCCTTGAGTGCTTCTGGCTCAGAGCCTCTCACCAGGTTTACTGGGGGACACGCCTGTCAAAGAATACGGGGAGGGAGCCAGATAACCCTGGGAAAAGTGGCAGGCCCAGAGGCAAGGCTGACTCCAGTCCTGGACAAAAGGAAAGAAGGGTTGTTGGACGCATCCTAGACCACAAGCAATCTAAGGAGAGTTGAGCAAGGCCATGGAGGAGTCCTCCAGCCACAGATGGCCAACAGAGGAGTCTCCTGTTGCCCAGGAATGGTCTGTCTTAGTGCCCCTGCTGTTACGTGTCAGTGGCTGGGAACAGCCCATGGGAAGCAGGGCCTCTGCACCAATGCTGCTGAGAATGACAGAGCACGGGAGGGAGGCCTTGGGAAATTTCCTGGAAATGCGGCTCCAATCTTCCTCCTGAGGGGTCTGGGCCTTTGGAAATCAAACGCTGTCAGACTGGGTTGCTGGACGATTCTGTTCACATTTACAATGGGACAAGGGAAACAAGGAAGTCCCCAAGTGAATCTCTGGGTTCCACACAAACTCCTCCTGCCCTTACTGTGTATCAGCAGCCCTGCCTCGTCCTGGGGATGAGGGTCCATCACTCCTGCCTGGAGAGGAGGGGAGTGCTCCTCTTCCCTGCTTGTCTCTAGGCCCATACTGTCCTGCGGGCAACTGTAATGTGTAGCTCAATGGGCTCTTGTTTGTCCCCTTGTCTGAGTGCCTCCCTGTGGAAAACCAGGACCTCCTATACTACAAAGCCCAGATTTGGGATATGAGAAGTCCAAGTTCCACAGTGGGTGAATATAAGGGATGGGACATGCAGCCACACTCTCTTCCATCCCTTGGTTTCTGGACCCAAGTTTCCTCCTACTGAGAATACAGCACCGTAGTGATGTCTCTGATTCAATAAATGCACCGTGCCCTGAAAGATGGCACCCATTCCTCAGTGTTTCCTCCAAGCTGGTTCTGAGTTGTGCCTGTTGAAGGCCTGTCCAATGTTCTGTGTGGCCGGCAGCCCCCGCAGGGTGCAGATGGTGATAGGATCAGTGGATCCCCTGGTCATGGTCCATGCTGCACCCACTTCCATTTCCCTGTGAGGTGGGTCCCCCAGGAAGAGGCTGTGCTGAGAGTAATTCCAAACCTGTGGATCAGGAATGTCAGTGGTGCTGGCTGAGAGTCTGAGAATAGTGGGGGAAAAAGCCTACCCATGGAGGAAGTTTCTGTCCCAGTGAGGATGAATCTCTGGCCCTTCCATGATGAGGCTTAATGTGGTCAATGTGTCATTTAGTGGCACTTTGATCACCTAAAGAAATAGTGCCTAAGCAGGGCACATCAGGGCCTATCACGGGTGTCTAATCCTGACAAGTTGGATATTCAGAGGTGGCAGCAGCTAGTTCGGCCTTGGTAGGTGGGAGTCTCACCTTTTGGAGGCTACCTATGGGTCCAGCAGCACTGACTCCCACCGACCAAGGCCACTGAGTGACCTGGAAGGATGGGCACATGAAGGGAGCTATTGTGATTCCTGCATGCATGTTCCCACCCTGCAAGGCCTGAGATGGCCCCCAGTGAAGGCTGGCTAACTTCCATTTGTCTGCTTGGTTGTTCAGTGCCACCTCAGGGGCAGGTATTTTCTGGGCAGATGGGGTGTTAACTTGGGGTTTGGGCTCATTCCACATGGACCATTTCCATCTCATGATGGACACTGTTGGGCCTGTCCAATCTATAACTCTGTAGGTCACACAGAAGCCAATTCATACAACCACTTGGAATTACGTGGTTCTCAGTGTCCTGTGGTCAAGAATTCTATCTGATCAGGGCCAGCAACACTAAAAGTTGCTTCGAGAAGGGGGCATATATTTCTGCTGTGGATGACATGAACTTACTCCAGAATCCCAGGCCCTCCATTGTGACTTTCCCCACTGATGCTCAGTTCACTCCATCCTGCATCTTTCCCCAGCCCTGCCACCTCCAGCACCAGGGGGTCTGAGGGATGGTGGCTGCCTGCACCACAGCCTGGATCTGCTGCAGAGTCCTTTCCTGTGTAGGCTCCACTTGAATCTGGCATCCTCCTATGTCACCCAAAATGTGGCCAAAATGATATACCTAGATGTGGAATGTGGTGTTGTCAGAACCCAAAGAGATTCACCAGGCAGTCCGCTTCTCTCTCTTTTTTTTTTTTTTCTCACTGAAGATGAAAGATGCAACGGGTTTTTTTTTCTGTTTTCTTTTGTTTTTACTTGGAAGAAATATCTCTGCATGCACCTAGCCACTGGACCCATAAAATTTCACTGCAGTTGCCACTCCTAAATTTCTGTAAGATTTATCCTCCTCTTTCTGGGGTGCATGTGTTTTACCAAGACCTCCAGCATACTTTCCACCTTCTTTCTCATCCATCCCAATCTATGATGTTGCCAATGAAATGAACAGATTTAATATTCTGTAGAATGTCCGGCATCTCTTAAGACTATGTTACAGATGACAGAAGAGTTATAATAGCTCTCAGGGAAAGTGTAAATAAATGTGGTATGAATGTGAATAACTCCATATCCACTTTCTAGCTGGAAAGGAATGCACTCAGCAAATCCTCGGCTGCACACCATTGGCCTGCAGCCTCATTAACTTCTGCTAGCAGTGATATCCAGCCAGCATGGCAGCTGCAATCAAGACCACTACTTGGTCAAGTCTGAAGTAATCCTGTTCATTCTTTAGGTCCTATTGGGCTTCTGCAAGGACAGAATACACGGAGATAATAGGCAACTCCAGCACTATCCCACCTCCTACAGCTCTCTAATGGTGGTGCTACCCCCCACAATACCTGCAATAACCTCCAAGACCTGCCCTGGGACGTAATATCGCTTCGGTTGGGATAGGGGCAGTTTCAGAGGTTTCCCTTTAGCCTTCAGTGCAATAAGAGCCATTAATCCACAGGTTAGAGACGCGGTGTGGGGGTCACTCCAGCTGCCAGTGCATCAATGCCATTATGCACTCAAGGAATAGGGAACTAAACAGGGCTGGGACTACGGGATTGTGAGCTATAATGTGTCCTGGCCTCTGGAAGCCCCTCTGTGATGGGACACGATGGTGCTGTAGGAATCTGGGCATCAATGTTAGTTCACACACAAAGTCAATACTCACCCAAATTCTGCCTATTTCCCTTTCCCGGTGTACAGTCTCCTGTGTAAATGGCTGTAGGTTCCTTTGCAGAAGAGTTCAGGGAATTGACCCAGCATATACTCCCAGGGTGTTCCAGGGTTCTTCCTCCTAGGGATATGGACTCCCCTCCTCTGTCATTGGGATCTGAATCTGAAAGTTAGGTGAGGTCTAGGCATTGAGAACAGATTATGACTTTGTCTTGGATCAAACACCCTCAGCCTCCTGCTCCTCAATTCTTGCTTTCTTTTCATAGATATCAAGCAGCGCCCTTGCTGGCTGTCCTTCTGTTCTGAACCTGGGACACTGCCCTCTGTTAACCTTCCCCACACTCCCTGCAGGTCAAGCACAACCTTGCCTGCTCTGTTGGGGTTGTCATGGTAACTGTGACCTCTGACTTTTGCAGATCACTGCCACCACTTGATCTAGCTGAAGTAGTTCTAGCTGGAAGAATAGAGAATTAAAAGAAATCTTTGTGAAGCCACCACTCAGGTTTGTCAATTTGTAACATTTTAATATTATTGGCTATATGTAGTATACATAGAAAATAATAGAAATATATGCAGATAGCCCTGATTTTCCACAGTTCTGTTATGTATGTGTTTCAGTCGATACTGTACTGAGTAAAGCAAGGACTGCCAGTGGGGAGTGGCGGATGTCTTGAATTTGGTGAATGCCTTTATATTGTTACAAAGTTTTTAAAATCCCTTTGTTTTACATGATTTTAGACTTCGTATAAATTGTTTTTTGTTGAATGTATCATTCTGTGGCTTGCTTTATCATTTAATATGGTTTATGAGGTGAACCCACACCCATAGAAACAGTTACTTTGTTTTCAGTTCTGGATAGTATTCATGGGAGGAATATCCCACAATTTATCTCTTCTGTCCGTGACCTTTAGCTTGTTTCTGTTACAGACACTGCCACAATGAACATCCTGGGTCATCTCTCTCTGGTCCCCTGTGTGAGTTCCCCAAGATATGGATGTAGGAATGGGATTACTGTGCTTTTACCATGTGGTGTTATAGGATGTCAAATTGTTCTCTGAAGAGGTTGTATCAGCTCCCCCCTTTAAAATCTTCTTTGACATTTTACAGGTCAAGTTCTCTTCCTCCCCAACTGGCTGCTCCTCCTCAGTCCCCCTTCATTGGCTCCTTTTGCTGTAGATGCTGGAGCACTCTGGGGTGTTACTACCTTCCTAATCACTCCGGTGTCCTCCACTCTCAGGATTTTAAATATCATCTAGACACAGATGGCTCCCAAATATATATCTCTACATATTTCTATAATCAAAAAAATAATGGTACCAAAACAGGTACTCTGATATACTGCAGATGGGCCTGCAAACTGGAAATGTTTTCAGGAAAGGCAGTATGGCTATTTCTGTCCAAATTAAAAATGCATACACCCAGTAGTCCCACTTCTAGAAATGTGTCCAAAACACACCTGCATTCCTGAAAAATGACTGTATTCAGAATTATATGTTGCAACCCTGTTTGTAAAAGCAAAAAGAAAAGAAGAAAGAAAATGACAGATAAAAGAAAAAATAATCCAAATGTCTGTCACTAGGGGACTGGTTAAAAAAGCATTGCAAGCTGGGCACAGTAGCATTCACCTGTGAATACACTCTACTCCACTCTGGGTAACATAAGGAGGCCTCCCTTCTTAAGAAAACCCAAACAAGCACTGCATAGCTACACGGCAGAGTCTACAAACATTTAACACAAAAGAAGAAAGACATAGAAAACTCTTGATATTCCCTCATGAAGAAATAAAGCAAGGTGTAGAATAACATATAGAGTCTGCTAAAATTTGTGTGAAAAGGGACAAAGGATATATATGTACACATTTATATTTGCTTGCATATGCATAAAATATATTTGGAAGAATAAGCAAGAAGTTAATATCCTTGGTTGCCTGTTGGGGATGAGACAGGGTAAGAGAGAGACATTTTACCTTTTGAATATTTTGAATTTTGAATTTTGAACTATATCAAGAAATAAAAGATAATTCCTAAGGAGACCAAACAAACCCCCAAAAAATTCAAAATGAAAAACTTTTTAAAAACTAATGGAATTTTTTAACCTTTATCGAAATAAAATTTAAAAATTTTCTAAATATTATGTTATTCCTTTAACAAGGAGGTTTACTGCCATTTTAATTCAGTACGTTGTTTTCTTTTTAATTGCATGATCTTTCTTTACATCTGTCTTTTTTCCATTACAAGGTAAAATAACAGCATGATTAATTAAATGCAGTTTGTTTGGTGAAGGAAATTTTGTTCAAATCTTGGTCTAAGTGGGAAAGGGATTCTAGGGGATCCAGTACAGCAGTTATGGGTTTCAGTATGCTCACGACGCCCTCCAGTGTTTGTGTGGGCTCATGGATGCCATATCTAGAAAACACTGGAATTCTCAAGCACACGTGACTGAAGCCATTTGCCAAATGTTCAAGGTCCTATTAATGGCCCATCTGAGTACTTGTCATACGCGGTCACCCTATCTTTGGATCAGAAGGTACACTCAGAGCTCCTAGTGTCACATCCCAGGCCCAACCTGCTGAGATTAGTCGAGGAAGGTCTGGAGGTCAGTGTCGTGAGGGGTGGGAAGACTGAGGGTGTGGGGGCCAGTTGTGGAGTGGCGGGAGCCCCAGGTGCTGTATGAAGCCGAGCCTCTGGATCACCCTGTGACCCCACATTTGGTCCCTTCCTGGGTGTCTTCCATTCCCAGGACTCCCAGGAAATAAAATCCTGCAAGATTGGGGTGGGGAGCTGTCCAGGGTGGGTCAGGTGTGGTCTCACTGATCCTACACCTCTGCCTCCCAGCCCACTCCCAGCCCTCTTCTGATATTAGAAACCAACACAGATTGCCTTAGGGTGGTGGTTCTCAAAGTGTGGTCCTGGGGGAAGCAGCATTGGCATCACCTGGGAACTTAGATATGCAATCTTCAGGGCCTGGCCTGGACCTACTGTATCAGAAACTCTGCATTTAACAAGCCCCCAGCAGAATTCTGCTTTTCAAATCAGATCTCTCTCTCTCTCTCTCTCTCTCTCTCTGTCTCTCTCTCTCTCTCTGTCTCTCTCTCTCTCTCTGTCTCTCTCTCTCTCTCTCTGTCTCTCTCTCTGTTTCAAGTCTCAATATTGAGTAGCTGTGACTTCTGGATAGTCAGGTGTCAGACACCCTTTCTTGCCAGGAGGCACCAGGCTCCTCAATCAGCTTAGTCTCATTCTTGGCCTGGCCCAGGGAAAGATGTTCACTTCCTGGATTCTGAGCAAAGCTCTCCTACCCTGGGTGCCTGTGGGGCTCCCACTTACACCACAAAACAAAGCTCAAATAATATTATTTTCTTTTATGAGATTTTTGGTATTCCTTCATTAGTCAGAGCTGAAGATCTACATATATGTCTACCAAGCAAGTGTGCATGTCCCACTAGCCAGTTTGTTAGTCTTGCCAATGCACCACAACGTAGCAGCCTCTCAGTCTCTCCTTGTGAGGTGTTACCTGGAGTTCTTTGTCTCACCACCAAGAGAATTAAGGAGCATGGATACAAAGGGTGAGGTTGGAGCAAAAGTTTAATAAGCAAAAGAAGAAAGCTCTCCCCCACGGAGAGGGGGCTTGGAAGATGGTTGCCATTTTTACAGCTGAATGCAAAGCCTTTTATAAGAAACTGATGAGGGCTGGGTGTCTCATTTGCATAAGGCACGAATTTCCGGTAGCTCCACCCCATCCTCCTAGTGCCCATGCAGGCCCTTAGCTTAAGTTACTCCATATTGCTTTGTTTCCCTGACTGCCCACGTATCGGGGGACAGAATTTTCCATAGCGGGCATGTCTGGGCAAGTCTCCTGTGCAGCCTTTCTTATTTGTGCAGCTGTGGGCATGTCTTAGGCAAGCCCCCCTGTGCAAGTTCCCTTCTCTGTGCCTGCAGGCCGTTCTTTTGTTTGAAATAATTCAACTGAGGACCCACCATAACTGCCCGCCTGACCAGTTTCTTCCTTTTTCCTCTCTCAATTTGTGTTATGATTTCCTTACTGATCTCTGCCTGAGCAAGACTGGGCACGCCTTGAGGGCAAGGAGGGTTTATTTCCTCTTATCTCAGTCCCAGCTCCTCTTAAAACAATGCCCTGCACACAGTAGGTATTTGATAAATGTTTACCAAATGAAGGGATTGCCTGGAATGGCTTGGCAGACAGGAAAGCAGAATGAAAACCCACAGGCCAAAAGTGGCTGGGAAAAGATTTTCCAAATCCTAGTGATGGGCACAGGGCCCCCTAAAGTTCACTTTTGGAACCTTCCCATCTGTCTTGTTCTCCTCTCATCAGGGACATCCATGCCCCTCAAAGCCCCCCTAGTCACACACTACCTTTCAGGACCACCTTCCAGATCAGCCAGGTGCAAATCCCACAGACTTCCTGCCTGTGGCTCCAAATGCTCAGCTGAAATTCTGAGGCTAATTTCAGTGGAGTTAGAGGCTTATCCCTTAGGAGTGGCAATGGCTGGCTTTAAGATTCGAGAAGTAGTGTTTACATCTCAAAAGAGAAGACCGCTCCACCAGAAATGCAGAATTTTGGTATGTGCGGGTCCGGGGTCTTCAGGAGATAAAGAATGATAGCTCCAGGAGCGCTGGGACCCCCGTGCAGCCACCAGTCACCACAGCCTAGGCAGGGGTTGGGCTCTCACCTCGGCCCCTCCCCTGCACGCCCTGGATGTGGATGGTCCCCGAGTGTGAACTCGCCTGGGCTCTGACCCTGGGTGCCCTTCCCGCCGTTGTGGAGCCTCTGCGGGTGTGGTGCATGCACAGGGGGCTTCACAGGAGACCCGGGGCCCTTTAGAGTCTGAAGGCCAACATTCTTGGAGAATCCATGTCAGGCATTCAGGCTCTCAGGGACTCAGATGCCCAAACTATGAAAATGAGAGAACCTATCCCACTCTCTCAGGTGTGGTGAGATTCATATTATATGACAATCGGTCGTCTACACATTGATCACACTCTCAGTATTGCCTTTATCAGTCGGCCAATGCCTAAAACCCAAAGACGGGTCAGGCATGGTGGAGGACGAGTTCCTTTCTTACCTTCTGAAGGTGCCATCAACAGGAATTTCTACCCTGTGGAGTCTAGAGGAGACTTTCCTTGAAGCTGAGTTGGGAATGGACATTTGGACTTTTTTTTTTTTTTTTTTTTGAGACAGAGTTTTGCTCTTATCACCCAGGCTGGAGTGTAGTGGCACGATTTTGGCTCACTGCAAGCTCTGCGTCTCGAGTTCCAGCGATTCTCCTGCCTCAGTCTCCTGAGTAGCTGGAATTACAGACACCCACCACCACATCCAGCTAATTTTTTGTATTTTTAGTAGAGACAGGGTTTCGCTATGTTGGCCAGGCTGGTCTCGAACTCCTCACCTCGTGATCTGCCCGCCTCGGCCTCCCAAAGTGCAGGGATTACAGGCATGAGCCAATGCGCCTGGCCAGACATTTGGACTTCTTTAAAATTTTATTTCAAATTTTTAAAACTTTCTAATAGGTATTTTATCTTCTTAGGAAGTAAAATCTCAAGTACAGAAAATATAAAAAGGTATAAAGAAGCAGAAGGATGGAAACTGCCAGTGTCTCCACTGGGAGGATCGGGATGAAACGTTGCCTGGCAGAGCCTCAGACTTCAGAGGGAAGGGGCCTGGAGCTGTGCTTTGCAGCTGCCCCTGAGTTTCCACTCCTGGTTTTTGTGCATGCGGGTGACTGTGCAGGATGACTTAGTGTCGTCATGCTTATGAGTTATTTTGAATCTTGCTTTTCAAAACTTTATTATCAATACACAACTTTCTATCATATTACAAAATCTTCTTACACACAGCTTTCACCAGCTGTAGGCTGTTTCCAAACAGAGGACCTAGCCACTCTTCTTTTGCATGTTTTTTTCATTATTGTAATTAATATCCTTATACCTAAAGATCTTTCTATATATTGGATTTTGTTTTAAAATCACAGATTTCTCAATAAAAGTTACTGGGTCAAAAGGCATGAAATTTTTTTTTTTTTTTGAGACGGAATCTCGCTTTGTCACACAGGATGGAGTGCAGTGGCGAGATCTCAGCTCACTGCAACCTCCACCTCCTGGGTTCAAGAGATTCTCCTGCCTCAACCTCCTAAGTAGCTGGGATTACAGGCACACGTCACCACACCTGGCTACTTTTTGTATTTTTAGTAGAGACAGAGTTTCACCATATTGGCCATGCTGGTCTCGAACTCCTGACCTCATGATCCACCCGCCTCGGCCTCCCAAAGTGCTGGGATTACAGGCGTGAGCCATCATGCCTGGCCGCATGAACATTTTTAAGCCTTCTCATACATATTATCAAATTACTTCTCAAAAGCAGTGTACCGGCTGGGCGCAGAGGCTCACGCCTGTAATCCCAGCACTTTGGGAGGCCCAGGCGGGCAGATCACGAGGTCAGGAGATCCAGACCATTCTGGCTAACACAGTGAAACCCCATCTCTACTAAAAATACAAAAAATTAGCCAAGCGTGGTGGCGGACGCCTGTAATCCCAGCTACTCTGGAGGCTGAGGCAGGAGAATGGTGTGAACCCAGGAGGCAGAGCTTGCAGTGAGCCGAGATCATGCCACTGCACTCCAGCCTGGGTGACAGAGAGAGACTCTGTCTCAAAAAAAAAAAAAAAAAAAAAAAAAAAAGCAGTGTACCAATTATATTCACCCATTTACTCAACCCATATTTATTGAGCCCCTTCTCTGTCCTTGGATTTCTAGATGCTGGAAATCCAAGTGGTGACTAGACAAGGTCCCTGCCTCGAAGAACATGACAACCAATGAAACAAATGAAAACAATTCTAATACCGGTGATAATTGTTATGGAGAAAATATGCTTGAGCTAGAAGGTTGATGGTGGTGAGGATGGTAGGAGATATAGTCTGTTGATCAAGATGTTCCTGGGAATTTGAACACTGGACGTCTGAGCAGAGACCTGAATGGTGTGAGGGGCCTTTGGATCCCTTTGGATCCCTGGGGAGCAGGTGCACTTGGGGAGTTCCAGTGGGAGGTGCCTGAGACAGGATTGAGCAGTGTTAGTGGAGATGAATGAGCTGGGCCGAGAGGGGTGGGATGAGGCCAGAGTGGCCAGAAGGATCCTGTGATGAGGGATGAGGGGCTGTAAAACATAGTGAGAGACTGGGGTTTCACTGTGCTAAGAAGGGAAGAGGCTGGCATGTCTGTGGGACGCGGAGGCGAGGATGAGCTCTAATTCCCATTTGAAATGCTCACTCTGACTATTGTGTGGGTGATGGACAGCGGGTGTGAGAGTCAGCAGGCAGCCCAGCTGGAAGGCCTTCTGGTTTACTATCTTGGAGAGGATGGCCCTGGGGAGGAGGCAGTAGAGGAGTGAGAAGTGATTGGATTTGGGGTTAATACATTTTTAAGATGGTGTTAGCAATAACTCCTTGGAGAACCACACATTTATTTGCTTACTTTAATTCTACAGCAACATTCGAGGTGGCTTACTGCAACAAACCCAGTGTAATAAATACATACGAATTACTTTAAAATCAACGCTAAGGAAAATATACATTTTAAAAGATTAAGGCTGGGGTAAAGCTGGAACATTACTAGGCAGGAAGGAACATCTGAAACATTTGCTGAAATGGAGTTGACCCTTTACCTAGCCATAGATTTGTTGCCTCACGATTTCATTGCATCTGAGCACCAGGGAGGGTGGTGGCAGTTCAGGTCACCAGTCCCTTGTTTCCTGATTCAGGAACAGCGTCCTGTTCTACACTTACAGTCAAAGCAAATTACATCATTATAAGATGTTTAATGATGAAGTCAAAGTCCACAGAGTCAGCAAGCAAGTGTAAAAACCTCAGGAGTCTAAGGACAGTCTACATTTCTCCCCAGAAATGGCCTCCCTATGTACTGTTGAAGGGAGAGGGTCCTTTCAAGGGGCTCCAAGACGCAGAAGCAACTGGGCTGCAGCTCGAAATAAAGATGTCCTTTCTACCTGCAGGTTCCACGAAGCCTCACAGGCAACTTTGGTGATCTCACCTGAGCTAGGAATTCGGTTTTTTGATGTGGGTTCTCTTTGAGCCATTGTGTGAGCTTTAAAATGTGATGTGGAGATTTTGCTATACTGGTGTTTCCTTGCCGGAATTTGACATCCATGGTGGCTCTGGCTTCCCTGTCTGGTCCCAGGAGGAAATGGAGTGTCCTGCACTTTTTTTCAGCTTCGCTTTGTGTAGGAAGGATCAGGAGACCTGGAGTCAGGGCTTCCTCCAATCTCACTCTCCTCCATAAAACAGTGTCTCCTAAGCTTTCTGGGGGTGAGGGCCTTGACACCGTGCTGTTCTGATGAATATAACTGTCCCAGCTCCTGAAATAAAAGCACAGGTGCACAAAATACCGACTGTTGCAAGCAATGCCTAGGTGGGGATGTTTCCTAGGCGCCAGGTTTAGCACTTTGACTTTGTATGTACACACACAGGGGCCAGGCATTGTGGTTTATGCCTGTAATCTCAGCACTTTGGGAGGCTGAGGCATGAGAATTGTTTGAAGCCAGAAGTTCAAGACCAGCATGGGTAACAAAGCAAGACCCAGTCTCTACAAAAAAAAAAAAAAAAAAAAAAAAAGGGTATATATATACACAAACACACACACACACACACACACACACACACACACACTGGGTGTGGTGGCTCCAGTCTGTAGTCCCAGCTACTCGAGAAGCTGAGGTGGGAGGATTGCCTGAGTCCAGGAGTTGGAGCCTGCAGTAAGCTGTGATCAGGACACTGCAGACTGTCAGAGTGAGACCCTGTCTCAAAAACAAACAAACAAAACAAAAATACATACACACACACACAGCCAGAGCCAGCGCTGAGGGAGAGGCTGGACTCAGGGGTGGGGTCACAGGCGTTTCTCAGGTCCTTCTCGTGGTCTTTGTCTCTTTTTCCTGGAGGTGGGGGACTCTGTACTTCATGAGGAGAAGTTGTCTGAAGAAGGTGGGAGATACTCAGGAGCAGGGTCCAGAGAGGGAAAAGGATGAGGAAGTGGAGACAAAGCAGAGGGGGCAGGACAAGAGGAGAGCACGCAAGGAATGGGGATGGGGAGGACCTTCCAGCTGTCAGAAAGGTCACCCGCAGAATTTGGCTCTTGGTTTTTCTGCTTTATCAGGATGGATTTGGGAAACCAGCCGGAGTGGGAGATAAGGAGTCTACTTTGCAAAGGACACGTGTGAGCCTCCTCCTAGTTTGAACTCATGAGTAGCAGCTAACAGCCAGGACCCTTGTGTCGGGCACGTGAGGCCCCTTTGCAACCAGGGCGTTTTCTGCACCCCACCAGCCACCCCTCCTGGGACCACGCTGGTTCCCTCCAACCCTAACAGGGAGAGAAGGAAGGAGAGGTCTGGAGGGTTTGGGTCCTCCCTTGTGCTCCTTCTTCCTCTGCCATTTATTCCCTGAGTGTCCTCGCCTTTCCTCCGCTACCTGGACCCCACTACAGTAATGCACACTGGCCTGGACTCCCTTTGTAACCACCAAGTGGGTTCATCTTGCCGGCTACCTAGACGAAGCCGATTTATCAAGACAGGAGAATTGCAACAGAGAAAGAGTAATTCATGCAGAGCCAGCTGTGCGGGAGACCAGAGTTTTATTACTCAAATCAGTCTCCCCAAAAACTCTCATCAGTTTTTAAGGATAATTTGGTGGATAGGGGGGCCAGTGAATCGGGAGTGCTGACTGGTTGGCTCCGGTATGAAATCATAGTGAGTGGAGGCCATTCTCTTAGGCTGAGTCAGTTCCTGAACGTGGGGGCCACAGGACTGGTTGGCAGGTCCAGATGGGGCCCTCCAGCTGTTAAAAATACAAAAACCTGAAAAGACATCTCAAAAGGCCACTCTGAGGTTCACAATAGTGATGTTACCTTCAAGAGTAACTGGAGAAGTTGCAAATCTTATGACCTCTGGAATAATGGCTGGTAATATTCAGAATTCCAGCCCCTCTCATCCTAACTTAATGGCCGGTGGCCTTTCTTCGTTTTACAAGAACAGTTTCCCTTTAAACTATAAACTAAATTCCTTCCCAAGGCTAGTTCAGCCTACACCTAGAAATGAAGAAGGGCAGTTTAGCGGTTGGAAGCAAGATGGGGTCAGTTAGGTTTGATGTCTTTCACTGTCATCATTTCCTTAGTTATAATTTTGCAAAGGCGGTTTCACCTTGGCTTCAGCCCCACCCATGCAGTAACACTGTGCCCTGTCCTTCCAATCACTGCCACTAGGTGGAAGCAGAGCGTGCATCGCCCAGATGGGCTAGATTCTCACAGGCTCACTGCTAGAACGAATATTCTTGAGACTTTAGATCTGAAAGTCAGCCTGATTTCTGAAAGCCTTGGACCGTTTCCAAAATCAAATCAATACTCCAGGAACAAGATCTGCCTCGACTTTGCCTCTACCCAAGGACGCTATGGCAACGCAGTTTTCAAACGTGCTTTGAGAATAAATGGAACAGGGTCCCCTGTGTCCCCACTCATTTGCGTTTTCCTTTTTATTACAGCCAACCGCTTTTGTAAATATTGTTACACATCTCTCTATTCCACTGAAAACATCTCTTTCAAATGCACTTTAAGAAAGATTCAATGCCATGAAAATATGAAGGATCCTCTTGAAAGAGAGTTTCTGGTGGTGGGTTTTAATGAACATTTTCTTTTTTAAAACTCTGTAACTATTTCGTTGTGGGGCTTAGCTTCATATTTTCAAACTGAAATATTCTCTTCCTTAACCTCCACATAAATCCAAGTTTATAATTTTTATTATTTTAAAATTTTATTTATTTTTCTGTTTTGGGGACAGGGTCTCCTCCTGTCACTCAGGCTGGAGTGCAATGGCACAATCATAGCTCACTGCAGCCTGGAACTCCTGGGCTTAAGCAATCTTCCTGCCTTCGATTCCCAAAGAGCTGGGATTATAGTCATGAACCACTGCAATCCACCCAAATCCAAGTTTACACTAAAAGATAAAATTCCAACATTGTAGGGGATTGGTCAGGTGGTGGGAATAATTATAAAGATAAAGTTATAGGAAATAGACACAAACCTTCTTGGAAAGTGGAAAGTTTTGCAAAAGCCTCAGGATAGGGTTATAGCTGAAAGCAGCCTAATCCCCTTACCTTGAGTTAATAGCTTCGAGTAAGTACAAAGACATGTAAGAGAGTTTATCTAAAGAGCATGTTTACCTTTGATCATTTGTAGGACTGCTCTCTCCGGGGGACTGCGACCAGATTAATTACCCACAGGTGTGTTGACTCAAAGCCTTTGTCATTAAATCTGTGCTGAATAAAGGCCCACAGGGCCAGATAGTCAGGGCACGCAGCTGCCACAACCCTTTCTGTGAGTGGCCTGGCCCTCTGGTGCACTCTTTCACTGAATATCGGTGTCTGAGTACATTATTCATCCATCGTGCAGCCTGGGTCTGCCGGTCAGACCCTGGCACAACATTTAAGAGGAAATGAAAGTCACAAAGTTATCCCAGTCTCTGGAGTCACTGTCAAAACTTTGGTGAGGAATCTTCCAGGTTTTCCCCTACTTCAAATATATATTAATATTATGTAAGTGATATTAGTGGCATTTTCGCCCAGGCTGGAATGCAGTGGCATGATCTCGGCTCACTCTAACCTCTACCTCCCAGATTCAAGCGATTCTCCTGCCTCAGCCTCCCAAACAGCTGGAACTACAGGCACCCACCACCACGCCCGGCTAATTTTTGCATTTTCAGTAGAGACAGGGTTTCACCATGTTGGCCAGGCTGATCTTGAACTTCTGACCTCAGGTTATCTGCCTGCCATAGCCTCCCAAAGTTCTGGGATTACAGGCATGAGCCACTGTGCCCAGCCTCCTTAACCTTTTAAAAAAGGTTAAAAGTATGCTGGGCACATCTTTTCATAGCAATACTTAAAATTGCTCTTACTCTTTTTAATGACAACATAGAATTTTATCGTGTAGCTGTTCTTTGGGAGACGATTAAAATCTTCTTTATCTTCACTGTGGTAGTGGAGATGTGGGTGTGTACAACAGCTAAAATTCAACAAGTTGAACATTTTAAATAGATGCAGTTTATTGCATGCAAAGTATGTCCCAATAAGATGATTTAAAAATATTATCCTCTTTGAGACTTGTACTTTGCTTATGTGAAACAAAACAAAACAAAAACCCTGTTCTTGTGCCCAGGAGACACACCCTGACACATCTGGAGGTAGAGGGTCATGCTGTCTGCAACTTACCCTCACAGGCTCTGAAATAACAATAATAGCAGCATATTTACAGATTTAGAGAGAGAGAAATTTGTGGTAAAAATGTTCATAAGTAAAACTAGATAAAGGGCAAAAATAAAAGAAATAATGAAACTACGTCTTTTAAATTTTCTCTCTCCGGCCGGGTGCGGTGGCTCACGCCTGTAATCCCAGCACTTTGAGAGGCCGAGGCAGGCAGATCACGAGGTCAGGAGATCGAGACCATCCTGGCTAACACAGTGAAACCCCGTCTCTACTAAAAATACAAAAAATTAGTCGGGCGTGGTGGCAGGAGCCTGTAGTCCCAGCTACTCCAGAGGCTGAGGCAGCAGAATGCCCTGAACCCGGGAGGCGGAGCTTGCAGTGAGCCAAGATCGCGCCACTGCACTCCAGCCTGGGCGACAGAGCAAGACTCCGTCTCAAAAAAAAAAAAAAAAAAAAAAAACTCTCCTTTACTTTTTCTCTCCCCTTTTCTTCCTATCTCTTCCCTCATTTCTTCAACACGTCCCCCCATCCTTCCCTCTTTTCTCCATTCTCTGCATTTGATCCCCGGTATATTCCAGCCTCCAGGCCAACAAACTTCTCCGCGTCCGCCGGGAGCAGGTCAGGGAAGGGACGCGAGGCGGCGCTGTCACCGCATTCTGAGCGCCGCAGCTCCCTGGGCCCCTTGTATCATTTCAGTGAAGGTCACTCCAGTCTTTCATGGAGGCCAAACTAAGGGTGTAAATTAGGATCCTCACTGAAGTGGCGGGACCCTAAGAGGCTTTTTCCTGGCCCCTTAGTTGTGGGTTTTCCTGCGGGCGGCGCAGCCGGTTTCCATCAGAACCGCCCAGAGGCGGACGCTGCCTTCCTGGGGTGACGGAGCAGCAGGAAGCGTTTTCGGATCCTGGAATACGTGGGCGGCCCGTGGGAGGGGCTGAGGCGCAGTTTCCTACTCACCCGGATCCGAATCCTCCGCGGTGCTGTTTCAAGAAAGCCGGATTCCAGATCGCGCTCCAGCCCGGACTCGGAATTCCTGCCCTGCGGGTCTGCATTTTCATAACGGGCAGGTGTGAGTGCCCTGCAGCTGGAGACCAGAAGCCTGAAGGCAGCTCGGCCCTCCCCAGCCCACAGCGCCGTTATTCCGTTTCTATATCAGTAAACACATTTCATTTTCCGTAGACCAGGGCGGGGTGACGGGTGATCCCAGTCCTCGCAGTGAATTCCGGGCAGCAAAATTCAAAACACATGCGGCCAAGGCCGGGCACGGTGGTTCACGCCTGTAATCCCAGCACTTTGGGAGGTCGAGGCGGGCGATCACCTGAGGTCGGGAGCTCGAGACCAACCTGACCAACATGGGGAAATCCCGTCTCTACTAAAAATATAAAATTAGACGGGCTTGGTGGTGAATGCCTGTAATCCCAGCTAGTCGGGAGGCTGAGGCAGGAGAATCGCTTAAACCTTGGAGGCGGAGGTTGCGGTGAGCCGAGATCGCGCCATTGCACTTCAGCCTGGGCAACAAGAGGGAAAACTCCGTCGCAAAAACTTTCGGGGGCGGAGCGGAGCCCCGCCCTGGGTTATGTAAGCGACCGCGCTGGGCCGTTTCTCTTTCTTTTCCGGACCCTGCAGTGGCGCCTAAAGTCTGAGAGAGGGAAGTCGCCTCTGTGCTCGTGAGTGCATGGGGTATAAGGCAAGTGCTGAGGGAGAAAACGTAGTTGATGGGGTAGAGCAGACGGGGTTGGAGGTGGGGTGGAGGGGGAGGGCTTTGGACAGAAGACCTGGGAGGCTTGGTGGGGGAGGGGCGCCCAGGCCTGGGCACTAAGAAACAAGTCCCCTGGAGCTCAAGACCATCTCGGCCTCCCCTAGCCCAAGAGAGGACTGGCTTCATGACTCCCTGAAACCATTTCTAAATGCCTTAGAACAAACCTTGCATATTCATTATTGTTATTGAACTATTAAAAGTCTTTTTTGGGGGCGAGCTGAATCAGATCCTTTGCTGGAGCTGGCACACGGAGGAAGTCCTGGAGGGAGGGTAGACACCGTGGAGGTAAGGGCTTGGGACCTGTGTCAGGAGAGCTAGGTCCATCTCCCTCCCAGTCTCTCACTAGGCTTATGATCTTTAGCAGTGAAAATAATCTCTCTAAGGTGGGGAAAGGACCCCGGTCCCTGCTGTGCTCAATAAATTATGAGGATCAAAATAAATTATCAGTGAATGTGAATGGGAAAACTAAGAAATTGTTAAAATTCTCGAATACATTACATTTTCATCCACAGAAAAGTATAGGCTAGGGATCATGGGGGAATAGTTAGTAATGACAGGGATAGTTGAACTTAAAAAAAAAGTTTGTGAGGCTGACAAAGAAGAAACGGACACATTTCCTGATCTTGGAGGGTTCATAGGGTAGAAGATGGTAGATGACAGCTGGGTGTGGTGGCACTCGCCTGTAGTCCCAGCTACTCAAGAGGCTGTGGTGGGAGGATTGCTTGAGCCCAGGCATTCAAGGCTGCAGTGAGCTATAATCATGCCACTGCATTCCAACTGAGTGACACAGCAAGACTCCTCTCTTAAAAAAAAAAAAAAATTCATGGCAGGGCACAATGAGTACTATCAGGAAGGTTCAAACCACGGGCTAAATCAGTAGTTCTAAAACTTGACTACACATCGGAATCACCTAGGGAACTTTAAAAGATACTAAGATTTAGGTCCAACCTGGGTTTACTGATTTAACAACCTAGGTTGTGGCTGTGGCCTGGGAACATGGATATTAAAAACTCTCCAGGTGGTTCTACGCAGTGGCTAGGTTTGATGACCTCTGCCTAGATGTCCCAACGACTAAGAGATGTGCGTTGGGGACAAGGCAATTCTCTTAGTAGAAAGAGGCTTTCGGGACAGCATTCTTATTATTGAGAATTGAGAATTCATATGCCACACAATTTATCCTTTTAAAGTGTGCAGCTCAGTGGCTTCTAGCGTAATCACAAGGTTGTGCCACCGTCACCACTGTCTACCCTGGAAGATTTTTTTTCCTTTTTTTCTTTTTTCTTTTCTTTTTATTTTAAAGGCTAGTCAAGTGAAACAGTGGGAGTGAAGAAGAAACAAAGACATCTATAACTGGTTGTGATCAATTAGTTGTAAACACTGCACTCAGACCAGCCTGGGAAGATTTTAAGGATATGGTGTGGTCTGATGGGTTCCAAGGCAGAGGTTACAATAGCCTGGAAGAGGGAGACTGCTTAGGCAGTGGCATCCTGGTGGGATAGGGTGAGGAGATCCCAGAGCCCACGTTTACTGCAACCCTGGGGAGATGTCACCAGAGAAATGGGGGTGGTGCCAGACAGCAGATTGTGGCAGCTGAGGTTTTCCACGGTAGAGTAGAAGCATCCATCATGTGTGACATTCAGCAGATGGGGCGCTGTGGGTGGCTTGGAGCACTCTGGTTGTAACTGAGGCAGGCACCGTGTTTAGGAAGGCTGTGCAGTAATCTAGGCTGAAGGGAGGGGAAAGCCTAGACTAAGATTGTGGCTGTGGGATTGAAATAGCGTTGAAGGAGCTGACTTTGACTCCCGGAGATGATGGGGAAAGAGGAAATCAGAAGGGACCAAGGATGGTGATGTTCTTAAGAGAAACTGAGGAGGAAGAGAGGATGATATGGTGGCAGACGTATAGAGAGTCTTTGTAGATCTCTCACATTGGAGGGGACTATGGTCGGAGGTACAGATGTCCTAAGGCAGGCTGGAAAAGGGAGTCTGGAGAGAGCTTGGTGTTGTAGTGAACCACAGGGAGCCGCCTCCTTGGCCCTGTGATCACCCAGGGACTGAATAGAGAGGCGGCCCTGGGAGACTTCAGACACTTAGAGGATATAAGGGGGTGAAAGGGGGGCCTGGCTTTGAGTCAAAGGGAGGAGAAGGAGATTATAAAGCTGAAACGTCTAAGAGAGTTTGTGGTCTGAGCGGTTCTACTGCGGCAGGTGCTTCTGAGAGGCAGAGGTGGCTGAGATCTGGAAACAGGTCTGCAAATCTGGTCACTGGTCTCATTGCCAGTAACGCTGTGCGCGGTTGAGGGAGTGTGTTGGGAGAATAGCCACGCGTTGTCTGTCCTGGAAGGAACAAGCCAGTGAGAGCCGGTTTAATGGGGCGGCCGGCGAAAGGGGCTTGGTGAGGCCCGCGCTCCTCGGGGTGGGGGCGCGGGGATGGGTGGTCGCGATGCCGGGAGGGCAGGCAGGGCCCTGGCCGTGCTTATGAAGTTGGAGCTGTACTCTCAGCTACTCGAAGCTGGTCCCTGCTTTAGGCTGCGCTCCCGCGTGCTCCCCATTTTCTGGGCCCCAGGTCCCGCCTTCTAAATCTCCCCAGGTCTCCAGCCCACTGGAATTTTCTCTTCCAAGCGTGGCCCCGCCCTCTCCGCTCGTGATTGGCCCTAAGTTCCGGGCCCCAGTTTCATTGGATGAGCGGTCGGGGGACCGGGCCAGGTGACTAAGTTTCCGCGGCGCCTTCTCCCCGGCCACTGCTTGAGCCGCTGAGAGGGTGGCGACGTCGGGGCCATGGGGCTGGGCCCGGTCTTCCTGCTTCTGGCTGGCATCTTCCCTTTTGCACCTCCGGGAGCTGCTGCTGGTGAGTGGCGTTCCTGGCGGTCCTCGGCGGAGCGGGAGCAGTGGGACGTTTCCGGGGGTCGGGTGGGTAGCGGCGAGCGCTGTGCGGTCAGGGCGGGGCTCCTGTGCCCTGTCGGTGGCGCAGGGAGCTGGACGCGGCCCGTTACCGCCACACTTCAGCCCTGCTTCCCCGTCACTTTTCAGTCCTCCTCGGGATCGCGCATCACCTGCACTTTCTGGTCTCCTCCTGCTCTTTCTCTCCTCGCGTCTCCTCCGCTTCCTCTCACTTTTCGGACAAACCAGTCCTTCTGAGGCCCATGGGTTCCCGGGCTGCCTCCGGGGCTGCTCCTGTGAATGGCATTCGAGTGCCCTTCCAGCGCGGCCACTGAAGCAGCCACAACCCCCGGTGCTCGGGGCGGCTCTCAGGTCCCTGAAGTCCTGTCCTCTCCCGGAGCCGACGTGTTCTCAGCTCCTGGGCCGCAGCTCCTGGAGTAGGGGCCCTCCTTTCTCGGGACCCGGAGCTGGTGCTTCCTGCTGCTGTGGGGACTGTGGGGGGTCCTGACTCTCAAGCTGAGGGGTTGGAGTCTGCAGGCTCCGGGCAGAGGATTCTTCCTGCGACTTCTCTCATCCCCAGCTCATTCTCCCCTCGCCTCTGGCTCCGAGGGTCCTCTCCTCTCTCTCATCCCACCCCTACTAATGACCAGTGATCTAAGGACACCAGATTCCCTCTCACCTCCTCCCTGCCCATCTCAGGGCCCGCTGAGTCCTTTTGCCCTCCCAGCTCCCTGCTACCCCTTCCTGTGTGCTGTTCTCTGATCCATTTCTAGGGTGTCCTCTGCCCTCATCCCCTGTCCCCGCCACCGAAGGTCCCTCCTGCACCCCTTATGGGCCTTTCCTACAAGCAGCCTTCACCCAGTGCTGCCCCTATGCCTCCCCGTTCCCAAATGTCCCTGACTCTAACTTTCTGGTGCTGCCTTTTATCCGGGGGGGTCTTCCCTCCATCCCACTCCCCTCCAGACCCCCAAGGGGAACCCTGATGCTAATGGCAGTTGGGCCTTAGGCAGGGCGCAGGGCAGCGCAGATGCCCCCTCCCCTCCAGTGCAGATGCCTGTTCTGGACCCTGCCTCATTGTGGCCCCTTCCCCACTCCTTCATCCTCAGCCTCACCCTCTTGAGGACCCCACCCTCCAGCCCACAGGTGCTGGACCATCCCTCCCTGGTCCCTCCGCCCCTCTCCACCTTGGGACCTTGTGCTGCTCCTATCTCTTGCCCAGCTGCCTTGGGCCCTCAGCACGTTCTCATCTTTCAGTGGGAAAGTGGGAGTGCTGGAGCATATGACAGTGCTGAGCATCTTTCCCAAGCCCCACCCTCCCCCAGAGCACCCTCCCCTCCTGTCCTCACCCTACCCCAAGTTCTCCCACAGTCACTCCTGCCCCATGCTCATGCCGCCCTCCAGTTCTTGCTCTGCCCATCTCCCCTCCCCAACCCAGACCTAAAACAGGCTGTTGGGCCAACTGTTCCTTGACCTTCCTTCTTTTCTTTTGGTTCCTTGACCCCAGTGGGCTCTCACTCCCCACACCGCATATCTAAAATCTGTTTTGCCTGCTCTTGGGGTGCCACTGCTCCCCCTCCAGCATTACTCCTTTTGGCAGGTCCTTCCTCAGGCTGAGAATCTCCCCCTCTACCTTGGTTTTCTCTCTCTGGCCAGCACCCCCACTCCTTGCTTTGTTTTTAATTTTTAACTTTTGTTTGGGTACGTAGTAGATATATATGTATATATTTATGGGGTACATGGGATATTTTGACACAGGCCTACAATATGTAATAATCACATCAGGGTAAATGGGTTATATCACAACAAGCATTTATCCTTTCTTTGTGCTACAAACAATCCCATTATGCTCTTTCAGTTATTTTTAAATGTACAATAAATTATTGTTGACTGTACTCACCCTGCTGTGCTATCTACTAGATCTTATTCATTCTAATTATATTTTTGTACCCATTATTAACCATCCCTGCTCCCCCACTCCCCACTACCCTTCTCAGCCTCTGGTAATCATCATTCTATTGTCTCTCCCCATGAGGTCCATTGTTTTAAATTTTGGCTGCCACAAATAAGTGAGAACATGCAAAGTTTGTCTGTCTGGGCCTGGGGCTTATTTCACTTCACAGGATGACCTCCAGTTCTTTGCAAATGACACGATGGCTGAATAGTTCTCCACATACACATGTACACCACATTTTCTTTATCCATGCGTCTGTTGATGGACACTTAGATTGCTTGCAGATCTTGGCTACTTTGAATAGTGCTGCAATAAACATGGAAAAGTAGATAGCTCTTTAATATACCGATTTCCTTTCTTTGGAGTATATGCCTAACAGTGGGAGTGCTGGAGCATATGACAGCTCTATTGTATTTTTAGTTTTTGGAAGAACCTCCACATTGTTTCCCATAGTGGTTGTACTAGTTTACGTTCCCACCAACAGTGTACATCCTCACCAGCATTCCTTATTTCTACATCCTCGCCAGCATTCCTTATTGCCTGTCTTCTGGATAAAAGCCAGTTTATCTGGGGTGGGATGTTATCTCGTAGGAGTTTTGATTTGCCTTCATCTGTTGACGAATGATGTTGAGCACCTTTTCATATACCTGTTTGCCATTTATATGTCTTCTTTTGAGAAATGACTATTCAGATCTTTTCTCATTTTTAAATTGGATTATTATATTTTTTTTCCTATAGTTGTTCGAGCTCCTTATATGTTTCAGTTACTGATCCTTTGTCAGATGAATAGTTTGAAAATATTTTCTCCCATTCTTGGATGGTCTCTTCATTTTGTTTATTGTTTCCTTTGCTGTGCAGAAGCCTTTTTACTTGATATGATCCCATTTATGCAATTTTACTTTGGTTACCTGTGCTTGTGGGGTATTACTTTAAAAATCTTTGCCCAGTCCAATATCCTAGAGAGTTTCCCCAATGTTTTCTTGTATAGTTTCATAGTTTGAGGTCATAGATTTACATCTTTAATCCACTTTGATTTGATTTTTGTATATGGTGAAAGACAGGGTCTAGTTTCATTCTTCTGCATAAGGATATCTAGTTTCCCCAGCACCATTTTTGAAGAGACTCTCCTTTGCCAATGTGTGTTCTTGGTACCTTTGTTGGAAATGAGTTTACTGTAGATGTATGGAATTGTTTCTGGGTTCTCTATTCTGTTTCATTGGTCTGTGTGTCTGTTTTTATGCCAGTATCATGCTGTTTTGGTTACTGTAGCTCTGTAGTATAATTTGAAGTCAGATAATGTGATTCCTCTAGTTTTGTTCATTTTGCTCAGGATAGCTTTATCTATTCTGGTTTTTTTGTGGTTCCATATGCATTTTAGGATTATTTTTATTATTTCTGTGAAGAATGTCATTAGTGTTTTGATAGGGATTGCATTGAATCTGTAGATTACTTTGGGTAGTATGGATATTTCAACAAAACTGATTCTTCCAATCCATGAACGTGGACTATCTTTTCCATTTTTTGTGTCCTTCAATTTTTTGCATCAGTGTTTTTTGTTTTTGGTTTTTGAGATGGAGTTTCACTCTTGTTGCCCAGGCTAGAATGCAAGGGTGTGATCTTGGCTCACCGCAACCTCCGCCTCCCAGGTTCAAGCTATTCTTCTGCCTCAGCCTCCCAAGTAGCTGGGATTACAGGCATGTGCCACTGTGCCTGGCTAATTTTCTATTTTTATTAGAGATGGGGTTTCTCTATGTTGGCCAGGCTAGTCTTGAACTCCTGACCTCAGGTGATCCACCTGCCTCGGCCTCCCAAAGTGCTGGGATTACAGGCATGAGCCACCACGCCCAGCCACATCACTGTTTTATAGTTTTTATTGGAGAGGTCTTTCACTTCTTCAGTTAGGTTTATTCCTCAGTATTTTATTTTATTTGTAGCTATTGTAAATGGGATTCGTTTCTTGATTTCTTTTTCAGATTATTTGCTGTTAGCACTGATTTTTGCATGTTGATTTTGTATCCTGCAACTTTACTGAATTTGTTCTTCAGTTCTAATGGTTTTTTGGTGGAGTCTTTAGGTTTTTCCAAATATCAGACCACATGATCTGCAAACAAGGATAATTTGACTTCTTCTTTTCCAGTTTTAATGCCCTTTCTTTCTTTCTCCTGTCTGATTGCTCTAGTTAGGATCTGCAGTACTGTGTTGCATAACTGTGGTAAAATTAGTCATCCTTGTCTTATTCCAGATCTTAGAGAAAAGGCTTTCAGTTTTCCCCCATTCAGTATGTTACTAGCTGTGAGTTTGTCATATATGGCTTTTATTATATTGAGGTCTGTTCCTTGTATACTTAGTTTTTTGAGAGTTTTTATCATGAAGGGATGTTGAATTTATCAAATGCTTTTTCAGTATCAATTGAATGATACTGGCTTTTGTCCTTTATTCTGTTGATATGACGTATTACATTGATTGATTTGTGTATGTTAAATCATCCTTGCATACCTGGAATACATTCCACTTGCTCATAAAGAATGATCTTTTTTAATGTATTGTTGAATGTGGTTTGCTAGTATTTCCTTGACGATTTTTGCATCGGTGTTCATCAGGGATATAGGCCTGTAGTTTTCTTTTTTATGATGTGTCTTTGCCTGGTTTTTGTATCAGGATATTCCTGGCTTTGTAAAATGAGTTTGGAAGTATTCCCTCCTCCTCTATTTTTCAGAACAGTTTGAATAGGACTGACATATGTTGTTCTTTAAAAGTTTAATTGTGGTAAATTATACATTACATAAATTTTACTGTTTTAACCACTTTTAAGTGTATACTCGGTGGCATTAGATACATTCACATTTTTGTGCAACCCAAAACTCTGTGCCCATTAATCGGTAACTCCCCATTCCTCCCTACCTCTGGCCCCTGGTAACCACCATTCTACTTTTTGTTTCTATGAATTTGACCACTCTAGGTACCTCATTTAAGCAGAATCATGTAATGTTTGTCTTTTTGTTTCTGGCTTATTTCACTTATAATATTTTTGAGGTTCGGTGGGCACAGTGGCTCACGCCTGGATTTCCAGCACTTTGGGAGGCTGAAGCAGGTGGATCACCTGAGTTTCGGAGTTCGAAACCAGCCTGGCCAACATGGTGAAACCCCATCTCTACTAAAAATAATAAAAGTTAGCCGGGCGTGATGGCGGGTGCCTGTAATCCCAACTACTTGGGAGGCTGAGGCAGGAGAATCGCTTGAATCCGGGAAGTGGAGGTTGCAGTGAGCTGAGATCAGGCCACTGCACTCCAGCCTGGGCAACAAGAGTGAAATTCCATCTCCAAAAAAAAAAAATAAAACAATAATAATAATAATATTTTTGAGGTTCATCCAAGTTGTAGTATGGGTCAGAATTTCATTCCTTTTAAGGATGGATAATACTCATTATATGTATGTACCACATCTTGGTTATCCATCCCTCAGACAATGGACACTTGGGTTACTTCTACCTTTTGGATATTGGCAAATATTTCATTTCCTTTGGGTATATATTTATTTCCTTTGGGTATTTCTTTTGGGTATATATCCAGAAATAGAAGCAGTACACAGGGGCTTCATTTTCTCTGTCTCTTTGCCAACCTTGCTCTGTGTGTGTGTGTATGTGTGTGTGTAGGTGTGTGATAACAGCCATCCTGATTGGTTTCAGGTGGCATCTCATTGTGGTTTGGATTTGCATTTTCCTAATGAGTGCTGATATTGAGCATCTTTTCATGTGTTTGTTGATCATTTGTAATTTTCTTTGAAGAATTGGCCATTTAAGTCTTTTGCCCATTTTTTCCCCCACATAGCTTCTCTTATCAGATATATGACTTGCAATATTTATTTCATTTCGGGGTTGATTGCTTTTTCACTCTGATTGTGCCCTTTGATGCATAGATGTTTTGAATTTTCATCAGTCTACTTTGTCAGTTCTTTCTATTCTATCTGTGCTTTGGTGTCATATCCATGAAAGCACTGTCAAATCCTATGTCATGAACATTATCCCCAATGTTTGCTTCTAAGAAATTTTTAGGTTTTAGTTCTTGAGTGTAGAGTTTAGGTCTTTGATTCATTTTGAGTTAATTTTTGTATATAGTGCAAATTAAGGGTCCAATTTTATTTTAACACCCCCTGCCCCCAGAACTATTTGCTGAAAAGATCAACTGACTCTTTGTCACCTGCTCACCCCAGTGGACACTAGCTGTTCCATCCAATTGCTGTCCTGGGGCCTTGTCATGCTACTCTTCCACTTTGAACCCAAGCCCACACCGTTCGTTGCTCCCCTCTGGGATACTGACCCCACTATAAACTTCTCTGGGGCTACAACCTTCCTACCCTTTGTGCCTCATGACCACCCCCTCCCTTGTCCCCGCCATGCCCATGATGAGTCTCTTCTCGAGGCAGCTCCCCTTGCCTCCATCTCACCCTCAGCCTATGCACCACAGCCACACTGGACATGGGTCCCTCTGAGCCTGAGTCCCTTCCCATTCCCACCATCCCCTCTGGCAAGACCTTCCTTCCACCACCTTCATGCTCCTCCCTTGCCCCTGCAGGGCAGCCTCTCCCCTTGGCCCCTATTCCCTTAGGGGGCTTGTGGCCACCCAGTCCTTGCACCTGGCCTACAAGTTTGCCATCTTCATTCCCCCTTCTTCTGTTCATCAGCCCCCTCCTCTATCCTCCCACCCTCACAGTTTTCTTTGTATATGAAATCCTCGTTCTTGTCCCTTTGCCCGTGTGCATTTCCTGCCCCAGGAAGGTTGGGACAGCAGACCTGTGTGTTAAACATCAATGTGAAGTTACTTCCAGGAAGAAGTTTCACCTGTGATTTCCTCTTCCCCAGAGCCCCACAGTCTTCGTTATAACCTCACGGTGCTGTCCTGGGATGGATCTGTGCAGTCAGGGTTTCTTGCTGAGGTACATCTGGATGGTCAGCCCTTCCTGCGCTATGACAGGCAGAAATGCAGGGCAAAGCCCCAGGGACAGTGGGCAGAAGATGTCCTGGGAAATAAGACATGGGACAGAGAGACCAGGGACTTGACAGGGAACGGAAAGGACCTCAGGATGACCCTGGCTCATATCAAGGACCAGAAAGAAGGTGAGAGTCGGCAGGGGCAAGAGTGACTGGAGAGGCCTTTTCCAGAAAAGTTAGGGGCAGAGAGCAGGGACCTGTCTCTTCCCACTGGATCTGGCTCAGGCTGGGGGTGAGGAATGGGGGTCAGTGGAACTCAGCAGGGAGGTGAGCCGGCACTCAGCCCACACAGGGAGGCATGGAGGAGGGCCAGGGAGGCATACCCCCTGGGCTGAGTTCCTCACTTGGGTGGAAAGGTGATGGGTTCGGGAATGGAGAAGTCACTGCTGGGTGGGGGCAGGCTTGCATTCCCTCCAGGAGATTAGGGTCTGTGAGATCCATGAAGACAACAGCACCAGGAGCTCCCAGCATTTCTACTACGATGGGGAGCTCTTCCTCTCCCAAAACCTGGAGACTGAGGAATGGACAGTGCCCCAGTCCTCCAGAGCTCAGACCTTGGCCATGAACGTCAGGAATTTCTTGAAGGAAGATGCCATGAAGACCAAGACACACTATCACGCTATGCATGCAGACTGCCTGCAGGAACTACGGCGATATCTAGAATCCGGCGTAGTCCTGAGGAGAACAGGTACCGACGCTGGCCAGGGGCTCTCCTCTCCCTCCAATTCTGCTAGAGTTGCCTCACCTCCCAGATGTGTCCAGGGAAACCCTCCCTGTGCTATGGATGAAGGCATTTCCTGTTGGCACATCGTGTCCTGATTTTCCTCTATTGTTAGAGCCACTGGATAAAGACAGAGGGTCAGGGACTGGACCATCCAGTGTTGTAATCAGGGCAAGTAGAGGACCCTCCGACAGAATCCTGAGCCTGTGGTGGGTGTCAGGCAGGAGAGGAAGCCTTCAGGGCCAGGGCTGCCCCCTCTGCCTCCCAGCCTGCCCATCCTGGAGAGTTCCCTCCTGGCCCCACAACCCAGGAGTCCACCCCTGACATCCCCCTCCTCAGCATCAATGTGGGGATCCCAGAGCCTGAGGCCACAGTCCCAAGGCCCATCCTCCTGCCAGCCTGGAAGAACTGGGCCCCAGAGTGAGGACAGACTTGCAGGTCAGGGGTCCCGGAGGGCTTCAGCCAGAGTGAGAACAGTGAAGAGAAACAGCCCTGTTCCTCTCCCCTCCTTAGAGGGGAGCAGGGCTTCACTGGCTCTGCCCTTTCTTCTCCAGTGCCCCCCATGGTGAATGTCACCCGCAGCGAGGCCTCAGAGGGCAACATCACCGTGACATGCAGGGCTTCCAGCTTCTATCCCCGGAATATCATACTGACCTGGCGTCAGGATGGGGTATCTTTGAGCCACGACACCCAGCAGTGGGGGGATGTCCTGCCTGATGGGAATGGAACCTACCAGACCTGGGTGGCCACCAGGATTTGCCGAGGAGAGGAGCAGAGGTTCACCTGCTACATGGAACACAGCGGGAATCACAGCACTCACCCTGTGCCCTCTGGTGAGCCTAGGGTGACCCTGGAGAGGGTCAGGCCAGGGTAGGGACAGCAGGGATGGCTGTGGCTCTCTGCCCAGTGTATAACAAGTCCCTTTTTTTCAGGGAAAGTGCTGGTGCTTCAGAGTCATTGGCAGACATTCCATGTTTCTGCTGTTGCTGCTGGCTGCTGCTATTTTTGTTATTATTATTTTCTATGTCCGTTGTTGTAAGAAGAAAACATCAGCTGCAGAGGGTCCAGGTGAGAAAAGCGGGCAGTTTCTGGAGATGGTAAGGCCCCTGTCTGGGCAGTAGGGTCCCCTCATTGCTCCTGCAAAGATAGGCATGTTGGTGACAAGGCTTCCGTAACAGGGGATGAAAGTTGGGGAATTTGGGAAGGGAATGGGGGCAGCATCTCCATCTACACCCATAAGTGCTGCCCAAGCAAGGGTCAAACGCCCAGCTGTGGCATCCTCCTGCTGCAGGTGAGGAGTGGGCAGCAGGGAGGGCTGCGGCGCCTGCTCTGTCCCCATCCCGGTCTCTGTGTCTCTTGAACTCACTAGGGCGCATCCAGGTGGGGTGAGCTGGGAATCACGTGCTGAATGCTAAGGGCCTGGATGATCACGGCCTCAGAGGGAGCAAATAGTAAAGGCAGCTGTGATCTGGGGAGGGCCAGAAACTGGAGAGGAATCTGAGGAGAGGCGGTGCCCCTATTCCCTTCCTCTCTGCATCCCCCTCCCCTGTTTCTCCAGCCATCGGGGCGGACACCGAGAAAAAGACCTATGAGGCCCAGCCTGGGGGCCCTGCCTGTGTAGCCCTTTGGAGACCCCTTGTAACAGGGAGGGTCCTGAGCACACATGGCCATCTCTGTCCACTTTGCAGCTCCCCATGCACCTCCTCCAGGAGCTTTCTTGGGGTTGTCGTGTCCTCTGCACCATTCGAGGCCCTACTCTTTCCAGGTTCCCACGGCCTGGCCTCCCTGAGTTTCTTGCAGATGACATGGATGAGTAGATAAGCAGATGTCCCTGGGCCATTTGAGGAGTGGGGCCCAGCCCCTCATCAGGGCAGCTGTGGTCCCTGTTTTCATCCTACCTCCGAGTGTTTTCTTCTCCAGTCCCTGAGGGACACAGTCCTCAGGGCCCATGTTTTTGGGGATTTAATCTGTGCTCTGTGGCCTCACCTTGCCCTCCCTGAGCCAATTTCCCTTTCTAAAGGTGGTCACTGCCTGGTAAGTTTGGAGTAAGGGACGGTCAGAATCATTTCCCCTACAGTCAGGTTGTTTGATGGGGGATGAAAAGAGACAGCAGGAAGTTTTGTGTTTCTGCAAAGACAGAAGCAGTTCAGGCGACAGTAAGAGGCTGGGGTGTCCAGGAGGATGTGTCTGGCAGTAGGGTCGCTGGTTTCTCATCCTTGAACCTAATTGCACTGTCAATCGGCCCCTCAGGCCTGAGCAGATGGGAAGGTTTGTCCCCTGCCCTGCAGCAAGAGGGCCCTGTCCAGGAGGCACCCACAACAGGGGCAGTGCAGGTCTGTGGTCACTCCTGCTCTCACCTGTGGCGTCTCCCGTAGAGGGATTGTCAGTTCTGGTTCCCTGTGGGCAGGAATGGTTTCCTCATAGGTCACTGGAGTTTTGGCCAGGAAAAGAGTATGAAGTTCATGTGCCAGTTTCTCAAAATTCCTGCTTTCAATGTTGATGTCCAGTAAAGATATTCGTAATTTCAGCTCTATAATCTTAATAGGATTTCCTCTAATATTGTGAAGCATATTATATGAAACAGGAACACAAATTTCTCAAAATTCCTGCGATGTCCAATAAAGATTTTCATAATTTCAGCTCTGCAATCTTAATAGGATTTCCTAATACTGTAAAGCATATTAAATGAAACAGGAACTCAAATTTGGAGCCCCCTCTCCAGGAGGTTCTGTGTGGAGATGGTGGCTGTGGCAGTGGCAGTTCCCAGGTGCAGAGGGTGGGCAGAGGCAGCCTCAGGCTAAGGGGTCTCCCCTACTCCACATGGAGAAAATCCCTTGTAGGTTGCAAGGGCAGTGGCCGGGTGGAATCCCTGCTAGGGACAGAGCAGGAAGGCCTCGCAGCCTCACCAAGCAGCAGCCCTGGGGTGGAGCTGCGTTTCCAGGGTTAAGCGGACCAGGCAGGAGTAGCGGTTACTCAAGAGCAGGTCACAGGCTTGGGTTGTGAGGGTCAGGAGAGGCCAGGCCTCCTCGAGCAAGGTGGGGGTCCCAGGGTCAGGTCAGGTGCAGATCCTGTGGCAGCCACGTCTTTCCATGCTGGGCCTGCTGGGCCCCCCAGGCTTCCTGATGGGGTCCCCAGTTAGGAGCTGCCTGCTCAGGGCTGGGAGGGGAGGAGCACTGAGCTGCAGATAGAGGGCAGAGCCCACAGTGGGCAGGGCCTGCCCTGGTGTGTAGGTGCCTCTGCAGGAGAGGAGGGCCTGGGGACTGAGAGCAAGGGTCAGGGCCTCTCTTTGGGGAGGCCTCTCACTGTAACAGGACTGGTCAGGCCTGAGAGGAGGGCACTGGGTTCCCTCTTGGGTCTTGTCCTTTAGTCTTGGGGCCCTTTCCCTCCCTGCACGATGAGTGGTGGGCACAGGGCACGGGCTGATGTTGATGGAGTGATGGGAGGGAACTGGCAGGGGCTGGGAAAAGCAAGGAGGGAGGAAGAAAAAAGTGGGGGCCTCATCTTCCCTCAGAGAAAGGGCAAATCTGGTTTTGGAGCAACTGAAGAGTGAAAAGTCCCCAGGGAATAAACACAACACTGCACCCAGTGGAGCATTTACCCATTTCCCTCTTTTCTCCAGAGCTCGTGAGCCTGCAGGTCCTGGATCAACACCCAGTTGGGACGAGTGACCACAGGGATGCCACACAGCTCGGATTTCAGCCTCTGATGTCAGCTCTTGGGTCCACTGGCTCCACTGAGGGCACCTAGACTCTACAGCCAGGCGGCTGGAATTGAATTCCCTGCCTGGATCTCACAAGCACTTTCCCTCTTGGTGCCTCAGTTTCCTGACCTATGAAACAGAGAAAATAAAAGCACTTATTTATTGTTGTTGGAGGCTGCAAAATGTTAGTAGATATGAGGCATTTGCAGCTGTGCCATATTAATTGGTGTCATTGTTTTTGTTGTTTTCGTATTATTATTTTTTTTTTTTAAGACAGAGTCTCAGGCCAGGCACGGTGGCTCACGCCTGTAATCCCAACACTTTGGGAGGCCGAGGCGGGCGGATCACAAGGTCAAGAGATCGAGACCATCCTGATCAACATGGTGAAACCCTGTCTCTACTAAAAATACAAAAAATTAGCTGGGCCTGGTGGCGTGTGCCTGTAGTCCCAGCTACTCAGGAGCTGAGGCAGGAAAATCACTTGAACCTGGGAGGTGGAGGTTGCAGTGAGCTGAGATCACACCACTGCACTCCAGCCTGGCGACAGAGCGAGACTCTGTCTCAAAAAAAAAAAAAAAAAAAGACAGAGTCTCACTCTGTCACCCAGGCTGCAGTTCAGTGACATGATCTCAGCTCGTTGCAGCCTCCGCCTCCCGGGTTCAAGCACTTCTCTTGCCTCAGCCTCCCGAGTAGCTGGGGTTACAGACATGCACCACCATACCCGGCTAATTTTTGCATTTTTCATAGAGACAGGATTTTGCCATGTTGGCCAGGCTGGTCTCAAACTCCTGACCTCAGGTGATCTGCCTGCCTCAGCCTCCCAAAGTGCTGGGATTACAAGCATGAGCCACCATACCCGGCCTATTTTATTACATTTTAATTTATTTTATTTTATTATATCATCCACCATGTCTGGCCTATTTTATTATATTTTAAGATATTTTAATATATTACGTGTGTTGTAATTGGATTATCATCGGTGAGCTTTGTGAGTGAGTGTCTTGGAGATGACTCCTCCTGACCAGCCCAGGACCAGCTTTCTTGTCACCTTGAGGTCCCCTCGCCCCATCACACTCTTACGCATTACTCTATGTCTACTGTTATGGGTGTGTAATTTTATACCATAGATGTTTACTCTTTAAACAGACACTTCTAGTCTGTTTTATTTCATGTGTCTGGGAGCGGATAAAGTGTGAGGTTCAGGGAGAAAGAGAGGTCTGTCTCAATGCCTTGGCACGGCATGAAGACAATCTCCCCTCCTTGTCCCCTTTCCCTGCTAGCTCCTGATGACTGACAGATTCACAGCAGAACAGAAAGGACTGGGAAGGGATGGAGGTGGGACATCTGGCACTGACCTTCAGGGGCTGACCCTGTGGGGGAACATCTGCCCTGAAGAGTTGGAGCCTTCATGTGATGACACAGAGCTGAAGTGTGATATTCGGGAGGGGATAGAGAGTGCTTGGAGGTTTTCTGATTTTGAAGAATCCCAGTCAGTCAGGTTCTGGCGTAAAGTGACTGCTGGGGAGGTGTGGACTGAATGAATGAAGAATAAATGAACCAGGAAAGTGGACATGCAAGAGGTGGGTTATTCCTCACCCTATTTCTTGATGCCTCCTGACTGCTGGTGTTGGGGCACACAGATGGGTGATGCACTTCTTGGTCAAGGCAACCTCAGCCCCACCCACGTAAGGTGGTCATGGCAGAGAGTGTAAGGGTGACACCTGTGAAAAAGACCCAAGGCAGGGATGGGAGCCCTTCTTGCAGCAGGAGTGGATGCAGGACCTGCCTGGAAGCAAGAGAAGGACGAGGGACCCTGGCTGGGCCCTGTTTCCTCCCACTGCCTGGTTCACAAAGCAACCAGTAAGGGAGCTGGAGTAGGGAATTCACTCATGTGCTACTTACTGATCCAGAGATGTGTTCGTTGACATTTTCTTTTATGTTTTCAGGTTGATGTCATTTACACATTCATGCATTTATGTTGTGTATTTATTAGTCTTGTTTATTTTAGTTAGCAAGTGTCACTTGTTGAATTCTGTTCTCATTAGGTATAAATTTTCATATTCATTGAAGTTTTTATAATCAAAATTTAATTGTCCATGATTTTAAAAGTCAAATATTTGCATAGGATTTCTCTAGAGAAATGAGTCCTCTCTGCATCTTCTCAATTTCTGCCTTCCTAGAGGCAACCATTTTCAACATTTTTAGCTAAGTCTTTCAACTTTTACTTCCATATGTCTAAATACAATTCCTTCATTAATACTGCTTGATTTTTCCGTTGCAGTCATTATCTGTTGCACAGCACAGTGGTGAATGCAATAGTTAATTGTACCTGTTCCCTTTCACTCTTCCCATTCTTTCATCTTCCCGATGTATTTCTGTAGTAATTATGTTTGGTTCAGTCGTTCCTTGTTTCCTTTTCCATGACTAATTTTCTCATATGTCAGCTTGACCACTTTTCACTTCCTGAACATTTGTTCTTCCTGTAGTTAATACTTGCCTTTGTTTTTGTTTATTTTATAAATAGCACTCATTAACGTTGATATTTCTTCTATTTGTATTACTCCTTTTTTTGGGATGGAGTCTCACTCTGTTGTCCAGGCTGGAGTGCAGTGGTGTGATCTTGGCTCACCACAACCTCCGCCTCCCAGGTTCAAGCAATTCTCCTGCCTCAGCTTCCCGAGTAGCTGGGATTACAGGCACTCACCACCATGCCCAGCTAATTTTTGTATTTTTAGTAGAGACGGCGTTTCACCATGTTGTCCACAATGATGTCGATCTCTTGACCTCGTGATCCACCCACCTCAGCCTCTGAAAGTGCTGGGATTACAGGCGTGAGACATCGCGCCTGGCCTTTTTTTTTTTTTTTGAGATGGAGTCTCGCTCTTGTTGCCCAGGCTGGAATGCAATGGCACAATCTTGGCTCACCACAACCTCCACCTCCCAGGTTCAAGGGATTCTCCTGCCTCAGCCTCCCGAATAGCTGGGATTACAGGCATGCACCACCACACCCGGCTAATTTTGTATTTTTAGTAGAGACAGTTTCTCCGTATTGGTCAGGCTGGTCTCGAACTCCTGACCTCAGGTGATTCACCCGCCTCGGCTTCCCAAAGTGCTGGGATTACAGAGGTAAGCCACTGCACCCAGCCGTATTACTCTTTTAAGAAATTACAGACTTTGGATATTCCACTTTACCTTCTTGGAAATGTCCCTCCTGGGCCCTTCTCGCTGCTCCCATCTGGACTGGAGGCTTCTCCCTGTGGAGCAGAGTCACTGTCCTAGGATCTCCCTCCACCGCCATCTGGGGCAGTGCTTTACATGCAGTGGAGCCACCTGGGGTCCAGCCAAAATGCAGACTGATTCAAGATGTCAAGGCTGAGGCATATGAGCCTTTCTGTCTAGTTTCATGAGATGCTGATTCTCCTGGTTCGTGTGTGTGTGTGTGTGTAGAGAGAGAGAGAGAGAAAGGGAATTTTGCTCTGTCAGCCAGGCTGGAGTGCAGTGGTGCCATCATGGCTTACTACAGGCTCAACCTCATAGGCTCAAGTGACCCTCCTACCTCATCTTCCTAGGTAGTCAGGACCACAGGCCACATCCTAATATATTTTTAATTAACTGATGCAGTTTCTTTCTAAATTAGTAAGAGGGCTGAGCATTTTTTCATTGTGGCAAAAAATACACATAAAATTTACTATCATAACTATTTTTAAGAATACAGTACCATTGGCCAGGTGTGGTGGCTCATGCCTGTAATCCCAGCAATTTGGGAGGCTAAGGCAGGAGGATCACTGGAGGCCTACAGTTCAAGTCAGGCTTGGGGAAAGTAGTGAGACCCTGTCTCCAGCCAAAAAAAAAAAATTAAATTAAAATATACTGTACTATAATAGTGTTAATTGTAAGCACAGTGTAGTGCAACCGATCTTTAGAATATTTCACCTTGAAAGCTGAAACTCTGTGCCCCTTTCACAAAAATCCTTATTACCTGGAAGTTTTACCTGGCAGCCACCATTCTACCTTCACATTCATCAAGTTTGACTGTTTTAGACACCTCATGTAAATGGAATTATGCAGTACTTGGAGTTTTTTTTTTTTTTTTGATTGGCATATTTCACTTAGCAATGACTTTAAGGTTCATATACGTTGTAGCATATAGCAAGATTTTCTTCTTTTAAATGTTGAATAATATTCCATTGTCTGTATATAATCATATTTTCTTGATCTATTCATCTGTTGGTAAACATATAGGTTGCTTCCATATCTTGCCTGTTGTGAATAACACCATTATGAATATGGATATGCAATCTTTCTTTTCACTTTTGTATCCCCCCTCATTTTGGTGCAACTAATCTTCTAGTAGCTTTTCCTGAAAGCACGTGCTTAAAGTACATTTGTGTGTTTCAACATATCTACTATCATTTTGCCTCTCTCCAGGAAGAGGAAAGAAATGTATTAAGGTGCTCTTTGGCACAGCATTTAATGGTAAAGAAAGAAACAGTATAACTGGCCGGTGCTGGGTTTCAGCATCCTGCAATTTCAGAACTACTGTGAATACAAAAGAAAGAAAGGTCCTGCCCAGGATGGGAGTCACTCCTATATATGGTGGCCCTGGGACAGCAGACCTTTCCTGTCACACCTCTTCCATGAGGGCCCTTACTTCAGTGACTGTGGTGCTTTCCTTCTCTCTATGGTCCATCTATCTATCTATCCAGTTGGTTGGGTTTCTCTGGAGAACCCTAATATACCAATGGACAGTAAGCAAATAAAACCTAGTATTACCACTAATTGCCATTGAGAAAAATATGCCTAGGCCAGAAGATTGGTGATGGTGGGAATAGCAGGGACATAGTTTAGACAAGGTGATTGAGCAAGACGTTTCTGAGAACTTGACCACTGGTTATCTGAGAAGAGACCTGAATCGTGTGAGGAGTGAGTCATGTGAATCCCTGGGGAGCAGGTACATGTGGGAGTCAGAGCATGGGTAGGTGGCAGAAATAGGGCAGAGCAGTGACAAGAGGCTGGTGTGAGTGGAGACAAGTGAGCTGGGCTGAGAGGAGTGGGATGAGCCCAGAGTTGACAGAGGGGCCCTGTGTTGAGGGGCTTGTAGGAAATGGTGAGACATTGGGGTTTCATTGCACTAAGAGGGGAAGAAGCTAGAGTGGCTTTGGGATGTGGTGGTGATGATGTGCTCTAATTCCCGTTTGAAAGGTTTACTCTACCTGTTGTGTGGGTGATGGACAGCGGCGTGAATGTCTCTTCATGTCCATTACCCATTTTTGAATGGCGTTGTTTTTTTAATGGATGAGTTGTAGTTTTTTTATGTATTTTGAATATTAATTCTTCATCAGATGTATGATTGGCAAATAGCTCCTCCCATTCTGTGCATTTTCTTTCCACTCTTTTAATAATGTCACTTGTTGCAAAAAAGTTTTTAAATCTGATAAAGTCTAATTTATCATTTTTCTTTAATTGCTCATGCTTTGGGTCATCCAGCCAAGAAACTACTACCAAATCCAATGTTCACAAGACTTTCCTCAATGTTTTCTTCTAAGGGTTTTACAGGTTTGACTCTTAAGCTTCGTTGTTTGATACATTCTGAGTTAATTGTTGAGTATGGTGTAGGGAAGGCTATGAATTGTGTCCAACATCATTCTTTTGCATGCGGATATCCAGTTTCTCAGCACCACTTGTTGCAGCACCATCTGTGGAAGTGAGGCTGACACATTTGCAAAATGCATTGAGCACTAGTACACCATGCATTTATTTACTTTTCTTTACTCCACAGTTGTTTTGAGGAGGCTTCCAGTGACAAACACAACAGAAATGAAAATACATGAATTCTTATAAAATCAATATCAAGTAGAATTATAAACTTTAAAATGTTAAGAGTGAGGCAAGGCTAGATCATTACTAGACAAGCTGAAACATAGACTGAAATGGAGGGTTTACGGTTTTCCTTGCTACAAATTTTGTTGGCCCACAATCTGTCATGCTTACTGCATAAGGGAGCCAGCCACAGGGTGGGTTGATAGCTCACATAACCAGTCCCTGGTTTCCTGCTTCAGAAACAAGTTCAGATTCTCTCCACTTACAGTAAAAAAGTGAATTGCAGGATGTTCAAAGTGAAGTTGACATCTACAAAGTCAACAAATAAGTAGTAAGTGTAGACCTCAGAAATTTAACAAGATTCTACTTTTTCCCCCAAAAAAATGTCCTCACAATTTCCTGCTGAAAGGAGAGGGTTCATTCAGGGGACCACATGATGCCGTTCTTCTGCTGCAGTTCTAAATTAAGTTGTCCTTCCCTCTAACTACAGGTCTCACAAACCCTTGCAGCCAGCTTCAATGATTTTAGCTTGACTAAGGTTTTGGGTTTTTGATATTGTTTGTATTTGAGCTGCAGCCTGGGGCTTAGAAATGTGACTTGGGTATTTTGCCAAAATGGTATGTTTTTCTATAGAATTTGACGTTGTGGAGACCCTGCTTTTCTGCCAGGTCCCCAGAGGGGATACAGTGCTTTGTACCTCTTTTTAGTACTTCATTAGCAGTGATAGAAGATTTGGAGTGAGGGCCTCCCTCAATCTCTACCCTCTGCCTAGTGCAGAGGATCATGGACTGTTGCAGTTATGGCAACAAAAAATTTCTCCAGACATAGCTCCTGTCCTCTGGTGGGAAAATCTCCCCTGGATGAGAACACTAGTTTGAGAGGTAGAGACACTCAGGAGCTGGGCTTGGACAGGGGAAGGGAAGAGGAGACAGACACAAAACGGAGTGGGGCTGGGAAACAGGCAAAGGGAGTTCAGGCCTGGAGGGACCTGGCCTGATGAGGCACATGAGGAATGGGGAGAGTGGCAGGATCTCCTATTGCCAGAAAATCGTACTTGTACCCACTGCATTCCCAGCCCTGGTGTATGCATCTCTAGGAAATCAGAATGAATTTGGCTATTATGGTGTCAGAAAGAGCCCTGAAGAGCCTCGTGTGCCTGTCAATGTAATGAAAGTGCAGGTGACAGCCCCTCCTGGAAATATTGTTGCCAAATGTTTAACCCAGATCTGCCTCGGTCTTTAGGAAACACAGCAGAGAGAAGAGCAAAGTAAAAGGCATCAGGGGAAATAATATGATAAATTCGGTGTGGAGAGCATGCTAAAGTTATTTGGCCTGCAATAAGTAATGCTGTTCTAAAAGAAAAAAGGATTAGTGGATTGTTGTAGATTACAGGTAACTAAAGGACACATAATCAAAGGCAATGAGTGGATATTTTATGGAACCAAGTTATAAAAATGTACAAAGAATAGATTGAAGAAGTGAAGATACTTGAATATGAAAGGACTTTAGATAATATGGAATTATTGTTTATTTTCTTTGGTGTGATAATGTAGGTTTTTACTCTTAGGAGATGCACGATGAGGTGTTTAGTGGTGAAATATCATGGGTCTAGCAAGTTACTTTAGAATGGTTCAGTCAAAAATCTTAGTCTCTTCATTCTGTCTCTCTTCATACATACACACACACATACACTCACATATACACACTATACAAACACATATAGCTGAAGCAGCATAAAACCTAGTTTCTAGTAGAGGGATGCAAAAAGGGAGGAGAATTGGTAAGTTAGAGTTTTTTGGCAAAGGACTGACAATGCGCCACATGGATAGGACTTCTATTCCGCTAGCTGGTGCTGTTGACCTTGAAACTCCATGTGCACTCCAGACCAAGGGCAGAGAGAGATGCTCACTGTGGCGGGTAGGGGGGATGTGTTCCTAGAAAATCACAATGACATTCCCCTGAGCTATATCCCTGGTTACTACAGCATTTCCTGATCTTGCCTAACAGGATTACTTCCCTGAACTGTAAAATTCCTGCAGCATTGTATACAGAGAAAGAATAGGAGACATGGCAATCATGGACAAGAAAGGAGGAAATCGTGATAGGAAAGTTAGAGATCCTGTTGCCAACACCCAGTCAGGCATTCGGAGGCTGGGGTCAGTCTAGAAGCCTTTCATAATGCCACGTGGTAGCTCCATCCAGAAATCCTCAGTTGCTCCCTGACTTCTTCCAGCCCCAGGTGATGGCTAGATCCTCCATGAAAGGAAACTGGTTCAAACACGGCCAATATGCCCAGCAACCCATGGGTAATGGGGGATTCTCCATGTTCTCCCCAGGAAGCCTGTCTCCCGTCTTGTAATGCTGGGAGCCACACTAATCATTTTTAAATGGCTGAAGGGGACCCAGTATTTGGTTTGATTTGATTCTAAAAATGGAGGCCAAGAGCCTCAAAATAAAAAAACAGAGTGGAGGTCTGCTCCTGTACTCACCATTCTGATGAATGTACCTTGGGATCCTGAATGAGCACCAAAAATAAAGCAGCACCTTTGTCTGGGGTGATACCTGAGATGCATTGCCTCATGCCAAGAAAATTAAGGACACAGACACACACAAGGAGTGAGTTTAGGAGTAGAGGTTTAATAGGCAAAAGAAAAGAAAGAGAAAGAAGAATAGCTCTCTCTCCTGTGAGAGAAGGGGCACGCAAGTGGGAATTCCAGCCCATGGCAGAGTGCACTGGATTTTATACACAGGCTGAAAGAGGTGTCTGATTTGCACAGGGCCCACAGATTGGTTGGACCAGGTGTGATGTTTACATAGTGCATGGGGAAGCTGACCACCCCACCCTAATCTTCTTATGCAAATAGGCTTTCCACTTGGCTGACACCATGTTGTCTGCTCCCTGCTGCACACGTGGTTGGAAAGGAAAAGTGAAGATGGAGCCGCCATTTGAACATGCCTAGTCCCAGGTAGCCTTTTCCTATTGGCACAACTGCTGGCATTCACTCAGGCAAGCTTCCAGCTTGCTTGTCTATGTCTGCAGCTCAATTTTACAGGCTGCTCTTTGTTAGAAAGAAAATGATTTGGGGGCTGCTTTTCATTAAAAGGAAAACCTTACCAAGGACTTCTTTACTCTCACTATCTGCCTAAATAATTTCTTTTTAACTCCTCTATCAGTTACAAAATCAGTTTTAAAGCACATACTGTTCTGTGATATTGGGATATCTGGACATTTTGTTGTCATAGGAGTTTATCCTTGCAGGTATTACCAAACTGCTTCCTTAGCTATCAACATCCTAGGACCATGGGTCATGACAAGCAAGGAATGTACCCTGCTAGTTTAAAGATAAACTTGATTTGCGGGGAGGGGGTGGTTTTTAGTTACATGGGTAAGTTCTTTTGTGGTGGTTTCTGAGATTTTGGTGCATCCATCATCTGAGGAGTGTACATGTACCCAATGTGTAGTCTTTTCTCCCGCACCATCCTATGACCCTACCCTCTGAGTCCCCAACGTTCATTATATCATTCTTTTGCCTTTGCATGCCCATATAAGTGAGAACACATGACATTTAGATTTCAATTCCTGAATTACTTCTCTTAGAATAATGGCCTCCAACGTCATTCAGGCTGCTGCAATTGCCGTTATTTCACTTCTTTTTGTGGCTGAGTAGCATTCTACGGTATATATATATATACACCACATTTTCTTTTTTTTAATTACACTTTTTATTTTGAGGTAATCATAGATCCACATGTAACTGTAAGAAATAGTAAAGAGGGCAGGCATGGTGGCTCACGCCTGTAATCCCAGCACTTTGGGAGGTGGAGAGAGCAGGATCACTTGAGACCAGGAGCTCAAGACCAACCTGGGCAACACAGCAAGACCCTGTGTCTTACCAATAAAATAATAATAATAATAAAGAGAAATGTCATACATTCTTTACCCATTATTCTTCAATGACATGTTACAAACTACAGCATAATATCACAAGGGACACTGACATTGATATGGTCAAGACACAGAACAGTTCTACCACCACAAGGAGCCCTCATGTTACCCTTTTATAATCACACTGACCTTTCCCCGCTTCCATGCCTAACCCCTGGCAACCACTAACATATTCTCTACTTCTATTAAACTTGTCATTTCAAGAAAGTGATATGAATGGAATCATGCAGTATGTGTTCTTTTGATATTGGCTTTTTTTTTCACTCAGCATGATTCCCTAAAGATTCAAGGATTCATTTACATTCTTGGATGTATCTATCAATAGATTGTTGGTTTTTTTGTTTTTTTGTTGTTGTTTTTTTTAATTATACTTTAGGCTCTAGGGTACATGTGCACAACGTGCAGGTTTGTTACATATGTATACATGTGCCATGTTGGTGTTCTGCACCCATTAACTCTTCATTTACATTAGGTATTTCTCCTAATGCTTTCCCTCCCCCCTCTTCCCTCCCCCAACCCCACGACAGGCCCCAGTGTGTGATGTTCTCCACCCCGTGTCCAGGTGTTCTCATTGTTCAATTCCCACCTATGAGTGAGAATATGCGGCGTTCAGTTTTCTGTCCTTGTGATAGTTTGCTCAGAATGATGGTTTCCAGCTTCATCCATGTCCCTACAAAGGACATAAACTCATCCTTTTTATGGCTGCACAGTATTCCACGATATACACCACATTTTCATTTTCCACTCATTGATTGACGGACATTTGGGCTGGTTCCATATTTTTGCAACTGTGAATTGTGCTGCTATAAACATGTGTGTGCAAGTATCTTTTTCATATAATGACTTCTTTTCCTCTGGTACATACCCAGTAGTAGGATTGCTGGATAAAATTGTAAATCTACTTTTAGTTCCCTAAGGAATCTCCATACTGTTTTCTATAGTGATTGTACTAGTTTACATTCCTGCCAGCTGTGTAAAAGTGTTCCCTTTTTACCACATCCACACCAACACCTATTATTTTTTTATTTTTCAATTATGGCCACTATTGCAGAAGTAAGGTGGTATTGCATTGTGGTTTTCACTGGCATTTCCCTGATAATTAGGGATGCTGAGCATTTTTTTATGTTTGCTGGCCATTTGTATATCCTCTTTTGAGAATTTTCTATTCCTGTACTTAGCCTTCTTTTTGATGGGATTATTCATTTTCCTCTTGCTGATTTGTTTGAGTTCCTTGTAGATTCTGGACATCAGTCCTTTGTCAAATGCATAGTTTGTGTATATGTTCTCCCTCTCTATGGGTCGTCTGTTAACTCTGTTGATTATTTCTTTTGCTATGCGGAGGCTTTTTTGCTGAATTAGGTCCCATGAATTTATTTTTGTTTTTGTTGCATTTGCTTTTGGGTTCTTGCTCATGAAGTCATTGCCTAAACCAATGTCTAGAAGGGTTTTGTTCAGTGTTATCTTCTAGAATTTTTATGGTTTCAGGTCTTAGATTTAAGTCTTTGATCCATCTTGAGTTAATTTTTGTATACGGTGAGACATAGGATCCAGTTTCATTCTTCTACATGTGAGTTGCCAATTATCCCAGCAACATTTGTTGAATAGGGTGTCATTTCCCCACTTTATGTTTTCATTTCCTTTGTCAGAGATCAGTTGACTGTAAGTATTTGGTTTTATTTCTGGGTTCTCTATTCTGTTTCATTGGTCTACATGAGTCTTTAGGGTTTTCTAGCTGTACAATCATATCATCAGCAAACAGCAACAGTTTGACTTTCTCTTTGCCAATTCGGATGCCCTTTATTTCTTTCTCTTGTCTGATTGCTCTGGCTAGAACTTTCAATACAATGTTGAAGACAAGTGGTGAAAGTGGACATCCTTACCTTGTTTCAGTTATCGGGGGAATGATTTCTAATTTCCCTCATTCAATATAATGTTGCCTGTAGGTTTGTCATAAATGGCTTTTACTACCTTCAGGTATGTTCCTTGTATGCCAACTTTGTTGAAGCTTTTAATCATAAAGCAATGCTGGATTTTGTAAAATGTTTGTCAAATGTTTTTTGTGCATGGTTAATACTAAGTGTCAACTTGATTTGGATTGAAGGATACAAAGTATTGATCCTCGGTGTGTCTATGAGGGTGTTGCCAAAAGAGATTAACATTTGAGACAGTGGGCTGGGGAAGGCAGATCCACCCTTAATCTGGTGGGCACAGTCTAATCAGCTGCCATTTAACATAAAGCAAACAGAAAAACAAGAAAAGGAGAGACACTGGCCTAGCCTCCCAGCCTACATCTTTCTCCCATGCTGGATGCTTCCTGCCCTTGAACATTGGACTCCAAGTTCTTCCCTTTTGGGACTCAGGCTGGCTCTCCTTGCTCCTCAGCTTGCAGACAGCCTATTATGTGACCCTGTGATTGTGTAAGTTAGTACTCAATAAGCATATATATATATTATATATTATATATGTTTTATATATATTATATATTATATATGTTTTATATATAATATATATTATAATATATATTATTCTATTATTATATTATTCTGTTAATATTAAATACTAACATAATATATATTATATATAAAATAATATATATATAACGTACTAACTTACATTTTGTGTGTGTGTGTATATATATATTCTATATATATATTCTATATATATATTCTCTATATATATTCTATATATATTCTATATATATATTCTATATCTATTCTATATATTCTATATATCTATTCTATATATTCTATATATCTATTCTATATATGTTCTATATATTCTATATATATTCTATATATATTCTATATATATTCTATATATATATTCTATATATATTCTATATACATTCTATATACATTCTATATATATATTCTATATATATTCTATATATATATTCTATATATATATTCTATATATATATTCTATATATATATTCTATATATATATTCTATATATATTCTATATATATATTCTATATATATTCTATATATATTCTATATATATATTCTATATATATTCTATATATATTCTATATATTCTATATATATTCTATATATATTCTATAAATTCTATATATATTCTATATATATTCTATATATTCTATATATATTCTATATATATTCTATATATTCTATAGATATATTCTATATATATTCTATATATTCTATATATATTATATATATATTATATATATATTATATATATATTATATATATTCTATATATATTCTATATATTCTATATATATTATATATATTCTATCTATATATTCTATATATATTATATATATTCTATATATATATTCTATATATATTCTATATATATATTCTATATATATTCTATATATATATTCTATATATATTCTATATATATTCTATATATATATTCTATATATATATTCTATATATATTCTATATATATTCTATATATATATTCTATATATATTCTATATATATTCTATATATATATTCTATATATATATTCTATATATATTCTATATATCCGATATATATTCTATATATTCTATATATATATCCTATATATATTCTATATATTCTATATATATCCTATATATATTCTATATATTCTATATATATCCTATATATATATCCTATATATCCTATATATATCCTATATATATCCTATATATCCTATATATATATCCTACATATATATCCTACATATATATATCCTATATATATATCCTATATATATATCCTATATATATCCTATATATATTCTATATATATATCCTATATATATCCTATATATATTCTATATATATATCCTATATATATTCTATATATATCTCCTATATATATTCTATATATATCCTATGTATATATCCTATATATATATCCTATGTATATATCCTATATATATATATCCTATGTATATATCCTATATATATCCTATGTATATATCCTATATATATATCCTATATATATATCCTATATATATATCCTATATATATATATCCTATATGTATATCCTATATATATCCTATATGTATATCCTATATGTATATCCTATATATATATACTATATGTATATCCTATATGTATATCCTATATGTATATCCTATATATATATCCTATATGTATATCCTATATATATATATCCTATATGTATATTCTATATATATATTCTATATATATATTCTATATATATATTCTATATATATTCTATATATATATTCTATATATATATTCTATATATATATTCTATATATATTCTATATATATATTCTATATATATACTATATATATTCTATATATATAGTATATATATTCTATATGTATATATTCTATATATATTCTATATACATATATTCTATATATATATTCTATATATATTCTATATATATATTCTGTATATATATATTCTATATATATATTCTATATACATATATATTCTATATATATATATTCTATATACATATATATTCTATATATATATTCTATATACATATATATTCTATATATATATTCTATATACATATATATTCTATATATATATATTCTATATACATATTCTATATATATATACTATATATATATTCTATATATATATATTCTATATATATATTCTATATATATATTCTATATATATATTCTATATATATATTCTATATATATTCTATATATATATTCTATATATATATTCTATATATATTCTATATATATATTCTATATATATATTCTATATATATATTCTATATATATATTCTATATATATATTCTATATATATATTCTATATGTATATTCTATATATATATTCTATATGTATATTCTATATATATATTCTATATGTATATTCTATATATATATTCTATATGTATATTCTATATATATATTCTATATGTATATTCTATATATATATTCTATATGTATATATTCTATATATATATATATATATTCTATATATATATATTCTATTAGTTCTGTCCCTCTAGAAAACCTGACTAATACAGATTTTGGTAACAGGAGTGGTTCTAGAGGAACAGAATATTAAGGATGGAGTTCTTTTGTTAGTTTAGGGGTTTCTGGAGTTGGTTGCTTAATATGATTAGACCCAAAAATGCTAAGGACTCTACTTCTAATAGTGTGGAGAATGCTGATAGTCCCTGGCATGAACTGTTTAGAGAGTAACGCAAAATAAATGCATTTCACACTATTCACTGCTCCTGAGAGGCAAGTTTAGTGACTCTAACCTAATAATTTTGACCATATGTAGAGAACCAAGGAACATAATGAAGCTGGTTGGTTGCTCCTAAGTTCAGTGGACAAAGTGATAAAAGAAGATAATGAACTCAGGGATTCTGTCTCCCAGCTTCAGAAGCAGATACTGAGCCTCAAATCTGCTAAGATTGCCCCATGAGTGACAGTCTTATCTCCTGTAGAGAAAGAGCTGAAATTGTGGAAAAACAGACAAAAGCTCCTATCATGTGAGTAGCTGACCTGCGATGAAAGATGCATACACAGCCTCACCAAGTGTCTACTGTTAAAGTGAGGGCATTGATCAGAAAAGAATGAGACCCTGCAACTTGGAATGGGGATATGTGGGAGGATCCTAATGAAGCTGGGGACACTAAGTGTGTAAATTATGATGAAACTTTTTTTGCTAGAAGAATCAGCTTCCCCGTCCCTAGTATTGGCAACATCCCCTCCCCAGCCCATGCTGTCATCAGCCTTTCCACCTTTATCTGAGAAGACAAACCCTGCACTGCCTGAGGCAACAGTGATGGCCTGCCCTGAAGCAGTTGCCAGGCAAGATAATGTTGATTCTCCTCAGGAGCCACCCCTAACACCTCTGTTTGCTTCTAGACCTATGACTAGACTAAAGTCCCAGCGGTCCCCTAGAGGTGAGGTTGAGAGTGTGACCCATGAGGAGGTGCACTACACTCAAAAAGAGCTGTTTCAGTTTTCTAATTTATATCAATAGAAATGTGGAGAACAGGCATGGGAATGGATATTACAGGTATGGGATAATGGTGAAAGGAACATAGAGTTGGATAAGGCTGAATTTATTGATTTGGGCCATTAAGTAAGGACTCTGCTTTTAATGTTGCAGCTCGGGGAGTTAAAGAAGGTCGTAATAGTTTATTTTCTTGGTTAGCTGAAATATGGATTAAAAGGTGGCCCACTGTGAGCAAGCTGGAAATGTCTGATCTCCCTTGGTTTAATGTAGAGGAAGGAATTAAAAAGCTTAGGGAGATTGGGATGGTGGAATGGATTAGTCAGTTTAGACCTACTCATCCCAACTGGGAAGGTCTAGAAGATTTACCCTTGACCAGTGCCTTGTGAAATAGGTTTGTGAGGGCAGCACCTGCATCTTTGAAGAGCCCTGTAATTGCTCTTCTCTGCATGTCAGAGCTAACAGTGGGAATCACAGTACTCAACTATAAAATTTAAATACAATGGGAATAATTGGATCCCGAGGTGTCAGGGGCCAAGTGGCAGCATTCAACCATCAAAGGCAAGGTGAGTGTAGCTACCATAATGGACAGCAGAGGCAAAGTGGCAGTCATAATAGTCCAACTCATGCAGAGCTCTGGCATTGGCTAATTAATCATGGTGTTCCTAGGAATGAAATTGATAGGAAGCCTACTTCATTCCTACTTAATTTATACAAGCAGAAAACTTCTATGTGCAATGGACAAAAGACTAATTTTAATCATAAAAACAAAGAATCATGGCCCCTCAGTCAATTTCCAGACTTGAGCCAGTTTACAGACCCAGAACCCCTTGAATGAAAAGGAAGCTGGGTCTCCTTGAAGAAGGACCCCACTACATTACTGACAATTTATGCAGTGAATCTTCTTCCATCCTTCTGTGAGGAGACCTCCAGCCTTTTACCAGGGTAACTGTGCACTGGGGAGAGGAAAATGATTAGATATTTCAGGAATACAGGACACTGGCTCTGAGCTGACATTGATTCCAGGGAACCCAAAACATCATTGTGGCCCTCCAGTTAAAGTAGGAGCTTATGGAGTTCAGGTAATTAATGGAGTTTTAGCTCAGGTCTGACTTACAATGGGTACAATGAATCCCCAGACTCATCCTGTGGTCATTTCCCCACTTAATGCATTTTCCCAATTAATTTTCCCAATTAATGCATCATTTCCCCAATGCAATTTCCCCAATTAATGCATAATTGGCATAGGAATAGTTAGCAGCTGGCAGAACCCCCACACTGGCATGCTGACTGGTAGAGTGAGGGATATTATGGTGGGATAGGCCAAATGGAAGCCATCGGAGCTGCCTTTACCTGGAAAAATAGTAAATCAACAATGTCACATCCCTGGAGGTACAGAGGAGATTAGTGCCACCATGAAGAACTTAAAAGACACAGGGGTGGTGATTCAAATCACATCCCCATTCAACTCTCCCAAATGGCCTGTGCAGAAGACAGACAGATCTTGGAGAATGACAGTGGATTATTGTAAGCTTAACCAAGTGGTGACGACTCCAACTGCAGCTGCTGCACCAGATGTGGTTTCATTGCTTGAGCAAATTAACACATCTCCTGGTACCTGGTATGCAGCCATTGACTTGGCAAATGCCTTTTTCTCCATTCCTGTCCATAAGGCCCACAAGAAGCAATTTGCCTTCAGCTGGCAAGGCCAGCAATATGCGTTTACTGTCCTGCCTCAGGGGTATATCAACAATCCAGCTTTGTGTCATAATCTGATTCAAAGAAACCTTGATCACTTTCCGCTTCTGCAAGATATCACACTGGTCCATTACCTTAATGACATTGTGCTGATTGGATCCGGTGAGCAAAAAGTAGCAAACACACTGGACTTATTGATGAGACATTTGCGTGCCAGAGGATAGGAAATAAATCTGACTAAAATTCAGGGACCTTCTACCTCAGTAAAATTCTAGGGGTCCAATGGTGTGGGACCTGCCAAGATATTCCTTCTAAGGTGAAGAATAAGTTGCTGCATTTGGCTCCTCCTACAACCAAGAAAGAGGCACAATGCCTAGTGGGCCGATTTGGATTTTGGAGGCAACACATTCCTCATTTGGGTATGTTACTCCGGCCCATTTATCAAGTGACCTGAAAGGCTGCCAGTTTTGGGTAGGGTACAGAACAGGAGAAGGCTCTGCAACATGTCCAGGCTGCTGTGCAAGCTGCTCTGCCCTTTGGGCTATATGACCCAGCAAACCCAATGATGTTTGAGGTGTCAGTGGTAGATAGGGATGCTGTTGGAGCCTTTGGCAGGCCCACATAGTTGAATCACAGCAGAGGCCTCCAGGATTTTGGAGCAAGGCCCTGCCATCTTCTGCAGATAACTACTCTCCTTTTGAGAGACAGCTCTTAGCCTGTTACTGGGCTTTGGTAGAAACTGAACATTTGACTATGGGTCATCAAGTCACCATGCAACCTGAACTGCCTATCATGAACTGGATGCTTTGTGACTAATCTAGCCATAAAGTGGGTCATGCACAGCAGCATTCCATCATCAAATGGAAGTGGCATGTACATGATCGGGCTCAAGCAGATCCCGAAGGCACAAGTAAGGTACATGAGGAAGTGGCTCAGATGCCCAGGGTCTCCACTCCTGCCACCCTGCTTTCTCTTCCTCAGCCTGCACCGATGGCCTCATGAGGAGTTCCCTATGATCAGTTGACAGAGGAACAGAAGAATAGGGCCTTGTTCACAGATTGTTCTGCACGATATGGAGGCACCACCCAAAAGTGGACAGCTGCAGCACTACAGCCCCTTTCTAGGACATCCCTGAAGGGCAGCAGTGAAAGGAAATCTTCCTAGTGAGCAGTTCACCTGGTTGTGCAGTTTGCATGGAATGAGAAATAGCCAGATGTGCGATTATATACTGATTCATAGGCTGTAGCCAATGGTTTGGCTGGAGGGTCAGGGACTTGGAAGAAGCATGATTGGAAAATTGGTGACAAAGAAATTTGGGGAAGAGGTTTGTGGATGGACCTCTCTGGTCAAAACCCACAAAGATATTTGTATCCCATGTGAGTGCCCACCAATGGGTGATCTAAGCAGAGGAGGATTTTAATAATCAAATAGGATGACCCGTTCTGTGGACACCACTCAGTCTGTTTTCCCAGCCACTTCTGTCATCGCCCAATGGGCCAATGAACAAAGTGGCTATGGCAGTAGGGATGGAGGGTATACATAGGCTTAGCAACATAGACTTTCACTCACCAAGGCTGACCTGGCTATGGCCACTTCTGAGTGCCCAATTTGCCAGCAGCAGAGACCAACACTGAGCTCTCAATATGACACCATTCCTTGGGCGATCAGCCAGCTACCTGGTGACAGGTTGATTATTGGACCTCTTCCATTATGGAAAGGGCAGAAGTTTGTCTTCACTGGAATAGACACTTACTCCGGATATGGGTTTGCCTATCCTGCATGCAATGCTTCTGCCAAGACTACCATCATGGAGTCACAGAATGCCTTGTCCACCCTTATGGTATTCCACACAGCATTGCCTCTAACCAAGGCACTCACTTCATGGCTAAAGAAGTGCAGCAGTGGGCTCATGCTCATGGAATTCACTGGTCTTACCATGTTCTCCATCCTGAAGCAGCTGGATTGATAGAATGGTGTAATGACCTTTTGAAGTCACAATAACAATGCCAACTAGGTGACGATACTTTGCAGGGCTGGGGCAAAGTTCTCCGGAAGACTGTGTATGCTCTGAATCAGCATCCAATATAGGATAGTGTTTCTCCCATAGCCAGAATTCTCGAGTACAGGAATCAAGGATTGGAAGTGGCAGCACTCACCATCACCCCTAGTGACCCACTAGCAAAATTTTTGCTTCCTGCTCCCACAACATTATGTTCTGCTGGCCTAGAGGTCTTAGTTCCAGAGGGAGGAATGCTGCCACCAGGAGACACAACATCGATTTCATTAAACTAGAAGTTAAGATTGCCACCTGGATACTTTGGGCTCCTCCTACATTTAAGTCAACAGGCTATGAAGGGAGTTAGTGTTGGCTGGCGTGATTGACCTGGACTATCAAGATGAAATCAGTCTACTACTCCACAACAGAGGTAAGGAAGAGTATGCATGGAATACAGGCGATCCATTAGGATGCCTCTTAGTATTACCATGCCCTGTGATTAAGGTCAATGGGAAACTACAACAGCCCGATCCGGGCAGGACTACAAATGGCCCAGATCCCTCAGGAATGTAGGTTTGGGTCACTCCACCAGGAAAAAAAAACACAACCTGCTGAGGTGCTTGCTGAAGGCAAAGGGAATACAGAATGGGTAGTAGAAGAAGGTAGTCATCAATACCAGCTATGCCCACGTGACCACCTGCAGAAACAGGGACTGCAATGGTCATGAATATTTCCTCCTTCTTTTGCTAAAAGTCATGTTTGTGCATGTATACACTTGGACTAAGAAAATACCTTTATTTTATTTCCTTTTCCTTTATCATGTGACATAAGATTTATTGACTTCATGTCAGCATTTAAGTTTTATTAACTTTATGTAATAGTACTTGGGGATTGGTGCGTTTCTGGTTGTACGAAGGATCATTGTATTATGTTGGTGTAATTATGACCTTATTATTGTCTTTGTTTGAAGATTATGTATGATCTCAGGAGATGAGTATGGGTTCAAGTTGACAAGGGGTGGACTTGTGATGGTTAATACTGAGTGTCAGCTTGATTAAATTGAATGATACAAAGTATTGATCCTGGGTGTGTCTATGAGGGTATTGCCAAAAGAGATTAACATTTGAGACAGTGGACCAGGGAAGGCAGATCCATTCTTAATCTGGTGGGCACAGTCTAATCAGCTGCCAGCAAATATAAAGCAAGAAGAAAAACTTGAAAAGGAGAGAGACTGGCCTAGCCTCCCAGCCTACATCTTTCTCCCATGCTGGATGCTTCCTGCCCTCGAACATCAGATTCCAAGTTCTTCAGTTTTGAGACTCGAACTGGCTCTCCTTTCTCCTCAGCTTGCAGACAGCCTATTGTGTGAACTTGTGATTGTGTAAATTAATACTTAATAAACTCTTATATATATATATACACACACACACGTATATGTGCTATTAGTTCTGTTCCTCTAGAGAACCGTGACTAATACATGTATCTATCGAGATAACAATATTATTTTTGTTTTTCATTCTGTTTATGTGATGTATCACATTTATTGACTTGCGTATGTTAAACCATCCCTGCATCCCTGGTATGAAACCCACTTGATCATGGTGGATTATCTTTTTGATATGCTGTTGGATGGATTAACCAGTATTTTGTTGAGAATTTTTGCATCTATGTTTATTAGGGATATTGGTGTGTAGTTTACTTTTTTGGTTATGTCTTTTCCTGCTTTTGGCTTCATAGAATGATTTAGGGAGGATGCCCTCTTTACCTTTTGAAATAGTTTCAGTAAGATTGAGACCAATTCTTCTTTGAATGTCTGATGGAATTCAGCTGTGAATTCATCTGGTCCTGGACTTTTTTTGGTTGGCAATTTTTTTTTATTGCTCTTTCAATCTTGCTACTTGTTATTGGTCTGTTCAGTTTCTGTTTTTTCCTGATTTAATCTGGAGGGTTGTATATTTCCAGGAATTTATCAATATCAATCTATTCTAGATTTTCTAGTTTGTGTGTGTAAAGGTATTCATGGTAGCCTTGAATTTCTGTGGTATCAGTTGTAATATATCCTGTTTCATTTCTACTTCAGCTCGTTTGGGTCTTTTCTTCTCTTGGTTAATTTCACTAATGGTCTATCAATTGCTTATCTTTTCAAAGAACCAGCTTTTTGTTTCATTTATCATTTTTCATGCTTCAATTTTATTTAGTTCTGCTCAGATCTTTGTTATTTTATTTCTTATGCTGGGTTTGAGTTTGGTTTGTTCTTGTTTCTCTAGTTCCTTGAGGTTTGACCTTAGATTGTCTTTTTGTGCTCTTTCAGACATTTTCATGTAGGCATTTAATGCTATGAACTTTCGTCTTAGTACTTCTTTTGCTGTATTCCAGGGTTTTAATAGGTTGTGTCACTATTATCATTCAGTTCAAAGAATTTTTAAATTTCCATCTTGATTTTAATGTTGACTCAAAGATCATTGAAGAGCAAGTTATTTAATTTCCATGTATTCACACAGTTTTGAGGGTTCCTTTGGAGTTAATTTCCAGTTTCAGTCCACTGTGGTCTGAGAGAGTACTTGATATAATTTTGATTTTCTTAAATGTATTGAGACTTACTTTGTGACCTATCATATGGTCTACCTTGGAGAATGTTCCATGTGATAATGACAAAAATGTATATTCTGCAGTTGTTGGGTAGAATGTTCTGTAAATATCTGTTAAGTCCATTTGTTCTAGGGTATAGTTTAAGTCCATTTTGTCTTTGTTGACTTTCTTGATGACCTGTCTAGTGCTGTCAGTGAAGTATTGAAGTCCCCCACTATTATTGTGTTGCCACCTATCTCATTTATTAGATCCAGTAATAATTGTTTTATAAATTTGGAACCCCTAGTGTTAGGTGCATATATATTAAGGATTGTGATACTTTCCTGTTAGACTAATCCTTTTGTCATTATATAGTGTTCCTCTTTGTCTTTTTTTTTTTAAACTGTTGTTGCTTTAAAGGCTGTTTTGTCTGATATAACAATAGCTACTCCTGCTCACTTTTGGCTTCCATTTGCATGAAATATTTCCACCCCTTTACCTTCAGTTTATGTGAGTCCTTATGTGTTAGGCATTCTCTTGAAGACAGCAGATACTCGATTGGTGGATTTTTACCCATTCTGCCAATCTGTATCTTTTAAGTGGAGCATTTAGATTATTGACATTCAACATTAGCATTGAGATGTGAGGTACTATTTTATTCATCATGCAGGTTGTTGCCTTAATACCTTGTTTTTTCCATTTCATAGTGTTGTTGAAGAGTGATGGCTAAATGTATCCAGCATAATTCGCCTACACTTAGTTTTCTAGATAATTGAGTTGGGTGGCCCCATTTTAATAATGACAAACATGAAATTCTAAATGCAATATCATCTTGGAGAGATTATTTGATTTTTTCCTATAGGAATTGTCTCCAAACTGCTTTCTAGACAGCCTCACAAAGCATCTAGAATGTATAAATTTGACTTTCATAATGCATTAATGATATGGTTTGGCTGTGTTCCCACCCAAATCTCATCTTGAATTGTAGTTCCCATAATTCCCATGTGTCATGGGAGAAATGTAGTGGGAGTTAATTGAATCATGGGGGCAGATCCCCCATGCTGTTCTCATGATAGAGTGACTCTCATGAAATCTGATGCTTTTATAAGCATCTGACATTTCCCCTGATTACACTAATTCTCTCTTCTGCTGCCATGTGACAAGGTGCCTTCTGCCATGATTATAAGTTTCCTAAGGCCTCCCCAGCAATGCGGAACTGTAAGTCAATTAAACCTCTGTTGTTTATAAATTACCCAGCCTCAGGTATTTCTTCATAGCAGTGTGAGAATGGACTAATACAGTAAATTAGTACCAGGAGTGGGGTGCTACTATAAAGATACCCAGGAATGTGGAAGTGACTTTGGAACTGGGTAACAAGCAGAGGTTGGGACAGGTTAGAGGGCTCAGAAGAAGACATGAACATGTGGGAAAGTTTGGAACTTCCTAGAGACTCAGAGGGCTCCGAAGACAGGAAGATATGGGAAAGCTTGAAACTTCCTAGAGACTTGTTGAATGGTTTTGACCAAAATGCTGATAGTAATATGGACAATGAAGTCCAGGCTGAGGTGGCCTCAGATGGAGATGAGAAACTTGTTGGGAGCTGGAATAAAGGTGATTCTTGCTACGCTTTAGCAATGAGACTGGCAGCATTTTGCCCCTGCCCTAGAGATATGTGGAACTTTGAACTTGAGAGAGATGATTTAGTGTATCTGCCAGAAGAAATTTCTAAGCAGCAAAGTGTTCAAGAGGAAGCAGAGCATAAAAGTTTGAAAAATTCGCATCCTGATGATGCAATAGAAAATAAAAACCCATTTTCTGGAGAGAAATTCAAGCCCACTGCAGAAATTTGCATCAGTAAGGGGGAGCTCAATGTCAATCACCATGACAATGGGGAAAATATCTCCAGGGAATGTCAGAGACTTTCACAGCAACCTCTCCCATCACAAGCCCAGAGGTCATCCTTAAGTGAAAAAATCAACCACAGGAGATGACATGATAATAGGCTTATTACAGTAGAGGAAGGTACAAAGTGTTTCTCATCATTGGTGTGTTTGTTAAAATGGGGAGGGGTTACTGAGTGAGTGGGCAGTGGGTGGTGGTGGTGACAACCACATTCTCTCACTGTGGCCCAACACTTTTGAAGCAGTTTCCCATTTCTCCATTAGATGTGTCTTCTCCACATGCAGAAAATGTAGTCTCATAGCTTCCCTATTGGGTGCTGGACTGTTGGCATTTCATTATTTTTTTTAAATCAAAGACATGGATATCTTTTTTCTTAGTTGATTTCTAGGACTTCAAGGTTATTTGGGGGAAGAAGTTGCTTGAGGAGGCTCCTGGGTGGACCATGGAGTCCCTCCTAGGGATTTATTTGGTGCTCCTGGTGTGGGTGACTATCTCCCTGAGTCCCAAAAGACAGCACATTCTGCCGGGTACCCAGAGGTGGGGACAGATGCTAACAGCTCCATCTTATAAGTGCAACATGAAATTTAAGGTCAGGGAATCTCTTAACTTTTCTTGAAGGACCTCATATTTAGCTTCTTGACTCAAAATCATTTGTGGATTTGAACAGGTTTCCTCTGCAATGTACTCTCTGGAGGGGAATACATTGAAAATACAGTTCATTTTCAGATACTCAATGGGATTGAAAAGTTGAATTGTGTGCTTTCTTGCAGTGAGCACAGAGGAATTTGCTGTCCCATGCCACTGGGACATTTTTAGGAGCACCATTCTCTTCCAGAGGGCTTGAGTAAGGTCAGTGAGGAATTAACATGTAGCATATTGGCAACTCCAGGGTTGAGCAGGGAGACACACATGTTTTTCTGATGTGTGAAGTTCTGAGGGCATTTTCCAAAGTACTTGTTCACTGAGCAGGTGTTTCCACTACTTGCATTAAGTCAGGGGATATGGAAGCCACTTTTCCAGCAATCAAACTCAATGAGAAGATGAACAAGAAGTGTTCTGAAAGTAAGCAGAAAAGGCCCTTTCCATGAATTTTCCTAATTTTTAGATTTCTCTTAAACAACATGCCTGAAGTTACAACCACATCCTTCTCTAGCAGCTTCTAAATGAGAAAATCATCAAAAGGGTATTTAGTACTCAAGTGGTGGACACAGGATAAATGCTGAAAATCAGTGCTCGATTCGAAGATAGTGATGTTCCAGGATGTTGGAGTCTCTCAGGTGTCAGTAGGGAGGCGGGCCGGGAACTTCTCCCAGTAACCAGAAAGAAGAGCCTCAGGGAGATGAGGATGTCTCACAGCCAGGGACGGGACAGTAAAGGGCCCCATGTGAGTGCATCACAGGGATCTGTTCCTGTTTAGACTCCAATGCTCAGTACCCAGTGCAGAACATGGCAAGACTTCAGCAAATACATCAGTCAGCTGGATGAAGGAGGCAGGTGTGAGCCAGCAAAAAAAAGCTTGTGATTTTATTGGAGCATGAATTTAAAAGTGTTGATGTGGCTGGGCGCGGTGGCTCATGCCTGTAATCCCAGCACTTTGGGAGGCCGAGGTGGGTGGATCACGAGGTCAGGAGTACGAGACCAGCTTGACCAACATGGTAAAACCCCATCTCTACTAAAAATACAAAAATTAGCCGGGCATGGTGGCAGACGCCTGTAATCCCAGCTACTTGGGAAGCTGAGGCAGAGAATTGCTTGAACCCAGGAGGCGGAGATTGCAGTGAGCTGAGATCATGCCACTGCACTCCAGCCTGGGTGACAGAGCGAGACTCCATCTCAAAAAAAAAAAAGTGTTGATGTACCTACCTTGCAAGGAGGTAGATAGGTAGACAGAAGCATGGATAGATGGATGGATATTCTTTTTCTGTGTTTTTCTATTTCTGTTCTTTCTCTGTGTTTTGTCTCTTTCTCTTGCTCTGTCTGTATCTTCCACTGTTCCTTCATAATCATGTCTTAGCCATCATCAGTGACATCTTTTATCTGGTCTTATAAGATCTTGTCTGTCTGTTGTATTAGTAGCCACAGGACAGAAAAAGGAAAGGAGTCGTGAAAAACAAGATAAGGAAAAAGATGCTCCTGACATGGGGCATCGGGAGGATGTGTGGCCCTGAGGCTCCCGGGAGACAGGGGCTGCGCCTCACTGCAGAGTCCATCCTGCTGAACACAGAGGGGAAAAGCGCCCTGACAGCCCCGTCCGTGCTGCTCAGAAAAGACGGCTCCGTCTCCAGATCCTTCTCTCTATGTCCTTCAGTCTTGGCTCTCTAGGTACAATTTACTGCTATGAAAAGGGATTTGAGAATTCCCAGAGGAGCCTTTCAGCCTCTTTGCATGGCTCTTTCTGGCCTTTCAAAAGCGCCAGAGACATCAGAAATGAAATCGTACACACTTATTCGGAGTTTTCCACAATCATTGAAATTTCTGTGAGTGCCAAAGTTAAGTTTTTGGCAACCCCGTCAAAGCCGGGTGTGCCCAGGACAGTCAACTCAGGCGCTGGACTCTCATTCTGGTTGGATTTTATGACAGCCGTATTCGCCATAAGAATTCTAGAGCCAGACCTTGTTACTTCACAATTGCCTCACGTTGCAGGACAAGCAAATCTAGCCTGAGTCCTGTGGATTCCAGGGCTGCTCAGGAGACGCCTCCATCCTGGCGTGGATGACCTCAGGATCAGCCCCGTCTGCCCCACTCAGCCCGCAGCCTGGTCCCCGAAAGCGCTCAGTCAGAATCCGAGAGCAGTGTGGCGGCGCCCCCGTGTGGCCACAGGACTGAAGACAAAGGACCCCGCTCCCCTTTCTCCCCAGCCAGGACGTCCCAGGCTCTCCCCCTGTTCCCCGCACCTGGACGGGACTCTGCACAGAAGAGAGTCTCCCGGTCTCGTGTCAGGCTCTGAGTTCATCCAGCTTCCCAAAATCCATGTTGATATGAACGTTTTCTCCCACAACTGATTGACTGGACTTTTGTCTCAGGGCAGAGGGAGGCCTCCAGACCAAAACAGCAGGATCAGGTCTGGAGCTGACTCAACCCCAAACCCTTGCTAATGCACGACCCAGTCCCCCAGCCTCCAGGATGGGACCTTGGCCTCCTGTCCCCTCCCTTGTTCCTGCCACTGCTCCTGCAGGTGGAGGCTGCTCATCCCAGGAATCAGTCTGTGAGCTCCAACCTTGGGGCCTCGGTCCAGGAAGGAGGGAGGCTCCAGAGAGCAGAAGGGAGATGAAATGGATCATAAGAGAAGAAGGAATCATACCAAACACTGGAACTGTAGGTCAATTAAACCTTTTTCTTTATAAGGGGGGGGGAGGAAGAGGAGGAGGAAAAAGGAGGAGGGTGAAAGGAGTCAGGGAGGAGAGAAAAGTGGGAAGTGTTTCTTTAGAAGGGGTGTGTGTGTGTGTGTGTGTGTGTGTGTGTAGGTGTAGGTGTGTGTAAAGCAGGAGGGAGTTCCTAGGATCCTGAAGAAAAGAGAGTGAAGGACAGGGGCTAAGGGGCCCAGCCCTGGTAGGTTGAGGGCCCCACTTTCTGTGCTCGGGCCTTACTGTCCTAGCAGAGTCCAGCCCCGGGAAGCCTGGGGTCACAGCACTCGGCTTGCTGGATGGCTGCCTCTTCATTGTCTTTGACAGCAGGAGCTACCTTGCCAGGCCCAGTGGCCACAGGGTCACAGGCAGAGAGCAGGTCCCTCTGCTGGCAGCCAAGGAGATGCTCTTGGAGGATACGTGCACAACTTAGCTGGGAGTCTGAAGATGGTGGTGGGTTACAAAGAGCTCAGCGATGAGCCTGGCCCAAGATTCTGACCCCTTGCCCTGGATCCTGAGGGTTCCACCCTTCCCTATTCCCAACAGGTCTCAAGAATTCTTCTGTTAGTCTCCTGCCCTCTTGGGACAGCCCCGCACTTCCCTCACTTTGATACCCTGGTACCCAGGCATCTGCCTCCTTCATTCTCCTCCAGCTACCCAAGCACCCCCAGGCCCTGCTCTCTGCCAACCCTGATCCCTGAACTCCAGCACTTTCCAAACCCACCCCCGAATTGCTGGATAATATAGTGGTTCTATTTTTAGATTTTTTAAAACTCTCCATACTGTCTTCTATAGTGGCTGTACTAATTTAAATTCCTATCAACAGCGTACAAGAGTTCCCTTTTCTCCACATCACCAGCATCTGTTATTTTATTTTATTTTATTTATTTTATTTTTGTCTTTTCAGTTGTGGCTATTCTATCTGGGGTAAGATGACATCTCATTGTGGTTTTGATTTGCATTTCCCTAATGATTAGTGATGTTGAACATTTTTTTATGTATCTGTTGGCCATTTATATTCTTCTTCTGAAAAATATTTATTCATGCCCTTTGCCCACTTTTTAATAAGATTGTTTGGTTTTTTAATTCTTGAGTAGTTTGAGTTTCTTATAGTATTCTGGATATTAGTCCCTTGTCAGATAAATTGTTTGAAAATGTTTTCTCCTGTTCAGCAGATTGTCTCTTCACTCTGTCAATTGTTTTATTTGCTATGCAGAAGCTTTTTTAGTTATTATAGTCCTATTTGTCTGGTTTTATTTGTGTTTTCTATATTTTTGAAGTCTTAGCCATAAAACCTTTGCCCGGACCACTGGCCTAGAATGTTTCCCCTGTTTTCTTCCAGTTGTTTTATAGTTTCAGGTCTTTCATTTTATTTAAGTCAACTTGAGTTGATTTTTAATAGGGTGAGAGATAAGAATCTAATTTCATTCTTCTGCATACGGGATATCCATTTTCCCAGCCCTTTTACTGAAGAGGGTGTCCTTTTCCCAAATGTGTGTTCTTGGCACCTTTGTTAAAAGTCAGTTGGCTGTAAATATATGGATTTATTTCTGCATTCTCTATTATGTTCCATTGATTGGCATGTCTGTTTTTATATCAATACCATTCTGTTTTGGATACTATAGCCTTGTAATGTATTTTAAAGTCAAGTAGTGTGATGGCCCTAGCTTTGTTCTTTTTGCTCAGGATTTCTTTGGCTATTTGGACTTTTTAAAAATGTTTTGGGTCCATAGAAATATTAGAATTATTTTTTCTAATTCTGTGGAAAAATAACCTTGGTATTTTTGTTGGAATTCCCTTGAATCTTTAGATTGCTTTGGGAACTATGGTCATTTTACTAATATTAATTCTTCTGATTCATGAGCATGGAATATCTTTCCATTTGTTTGTGTCCTCTTCTTTCTTTCATCAGTGTTGTATAGATTTATTTTTAAGAGATCTTTGACTTCCTTGCATAAACTTATTCCTAGGCATTTTTTTCTAGTTATCGTAAATGGAATTGCTTTTTTGATTTCTTTCTCAGCTACTTCATTAATAATGTATAGACATTATACTGATTTTTGTATGTTGATTTTGCATCCCACAACTCTACTGAATTTACTTATCATATCTAATAGTTCTTTGATGGAGTCTTCAGATTTTTCTAGAAATAGGATCATTTCATTGGCAGGGAGGGGAGAGAGGCTGAAGGTTAAGCTGATGGCCAATGATTTAATGAATCATGCCTAAGAAATATGACTTCCATCAAAACCCAAAAGGGCAGGGTTTGGAGAGCTTCTGGATAGCTGAACACAGGGAAGCTAACAGGAGGTGAACAAGAACTCAGCCATGTGCCAGAGAGGGTGGCGCATCCCAACCCCATGGGACAGAAGCTCCTGCACTGGAAACCCTTCTCACCTTGCCCTATGTGTCTGTTCATGGGGCTCTTTGTGTCTTTTAAAATATCTTTTTAAATAAACTGGTAAATATATGTAAGTGTTTTCCTGAGTTCTGTGAGCCATTCTAGCAAATTAATCAAACCTGAGAAACAGGTTATGGGAACACTGATTTAAAGCAAGTTAGTTAGAAACACGGGCAAAATGGCTTGAGACTGGCATCAGGAGTGGGAGGCTTGAGACTGGCATCAGGAGTGGGAGGGGGACAGTCATGGGGACTGAGCTCTCAACCCATGGGATGCGATGCTATCTCCAGGGAAAGAGTGGCAGAATTCAGTTAGAGGACACCCAGCTGGTGTCCATCACAGAACTGATTGCTTGTTTGTTGGAGAAATTCCCTACATTTGGTCAGAGAAGTCTTCTGTGTTGATAGTTGTTGTGGTGTGAGAGCAGTGGAAAACAACGTGAGATTTTCCACACTCAGAGTGGATCTAAATGTTGAGTTGCTTTTAAATTTGACTTAGTCGTGGCCTGACTAAACAGGATTAGATGTGAGAAATTTTTTGGTATAATGTATAGGAAGGAACTAAAGGCTGATGAGGATGGGAGTGTTGGAATAGATGTTCTGTGCATGAGTACCCCCTTCATCCTCTCTGTCTCCCAAGAACCAAAAAATACTCTCTCTGCAGCTTTAACAAATACTGGTTTGGAAGAGAGTGACTGCGTTTTTCAAAGTTCTAAATGGCTATGATTGCAGGACCTTTGTGATGCTCAGGAATGTCCTGATGTCAGCGGAGATGAAGGAAAACCAGAGATTCAAAAGTCAAAGGAAAGGGCCATTTACCATAATTCATATCATACATATTTCCTGGAAAAAAAAGAAAAATTCCTTGGGGAAAAAGCATCAAAATCATCAGGAAGTCTTCCACACAGAAATGACTTCATTAATTTGATCTCTGTCATTCTTTCTTTTCATTCATGTATTATTATCCATAGAGATTTCTATCCTGTGGGTTTTTTATTTAATTTTTGTTTGTTTGGTTTTTTCAGACACAGTGAGACCCTGTCTCAAACAAACAAACGTCACAGGCTGCAGTGCAGTGGCACAATCATTGCTCACTGCAGCCTCGACCTCCCTGTCTGAAGCAATCCTCCAGCCTCAGCCTCATGAGTAGCTGAAACTACAGGAACATGCCACCATGCCCAACTAATTTTTTAAAAAATTTTTTTGTAGAGATGAGGTGTCACTATGTTGCCGAGGCTGGTCTCAAACTCCTGGGTTCAAACAATTCACCCACCTTGGCTCCCCAGAATGCTGGGATTACAGGCCTGAGCCACGTACCCAGCCTCTATCCCATGTTTTGATTCATCATCATCTCCTAAGCCCTTTCCCAGCATCGATAGTCTACTAAACATGCCATGATTAAATTATATCTCTATACCTTGATATAAACAAAAAATTATATGAGCAGTAAAGACAAATATGAAAAAGTAAAATTACTGCCAAAGTTATTAGGAGGATAACCTAAATTATTTGGGTAGGAAAATCTTTCTTTTTTATTTTATTTTTTTTTCCAGCCAGGGTCTCATTCTGTCACTCAGGCTAAATTACAGTGGCCCGATCATGGCTCACTGCAGCCTTGACCTCCCAAGATTCAGGTGATCCTCTTGCCTCAGCCCCCTGAGTAGCTGAGACAACAGGCATGTGAGACAATGCCTGGCTCCTTTTTATATTTTTAGTAGAGATGGGGTTTTGCCATGTTTCCCAGGCTGGTCTCAAACTTCTAGGCTCAAACGATCCACCCACCTCAGCCTCCCAAAGTGCTGGGATTACAGGCATGAGGCACTGTGCCAGCCTCTTTTTTTTTTCTTCACATCTGCTGGAATGGAAAATATTTCTTAAATGAGACACAAATGTATCAAATTGAAAATGTTTAAACTTCAAAGGACTTACATACATATACAGTCATTCTTCGCTCAATGGTGAGATAGCTTCTGAGAAATGAGTCCTTAGGTGATTTTGTCATGTGTGGACATCATAGAGTGTCCTTACATGAACCTAGATGGTATAACCTACTTCACACCTAGGCTACGTGATAAGCCCATTGCTTCTAGGCTACAAATTATATAGCATGTTACCGTATGGAACATTGCAGCCAATTCTAACACAATGGTAAGTATTTGTGGATCTAAGCATGTGTAAACAGAGAAAAGGTACAGTAAAAATGTGATTAATAAAAAGATCTTTAAAATGGCGTATCTGTCTAGGACACTTACCATGAATGGAGCTTGCAGGACTAGAAGTGCCCTGGGTGAGTGAGTGAGTGAGTGGTGAGTGAATGTGAAGGCTAGGGCATTACTGTACACTACTTAGACTTTATAAACTTAGGCTACACTAAATTGATTTTAACATTTTCTTTCTTTAATAATAAATTAACTTATTAATAATTAACTAATAATTTTATTATTTATTTATTAACAATTAATAACTAATTAATAATTAGTTACCATAGCTTTCTGTAACCTTTTGAACTTTTTTGTTTTATTATTATACTTTAAGTTTTAGGGTACATGTGCACATTGTGCAGGTTAGTTACATATGTATACATGTGCCATGCTGGTGTGCTGCACCCATTAACTCGTCATTTAGCATTAGGTGTATCTCCTAATGCTATCCCTCCCCCTTCCTGCCACCCCACAACAGTCCCCAGAGTGTGATGTTCCCCTTCCTGTGTCCATGTGTTCTCATTGTTCAATTCCCACTTATGAGTGAGAACATGCGGTGTTTGGTGTTTTGTCCTTGCGATAGTTTACTGAGAATGATGATTTCCAATTTCATCCATGTCCCTACAAAGGACATGAAGTCATCATTTTTTATGGCTGCATAGTATTCCATGGTGTATATGTGCCACATTTTCTTAATCCAGTCTATTGTTGTTGGACATTTAGGTTGGTTCCAAGTCTTTGCTGTTGTGAATAGTGCCGCAATAAACATACGTGTGCATGTGTCTTTATAGCAGCATGATTTATAGTCCTTTGGGTATATACCCAGTAATGGGATGGCTGGGTCAAATGGTATTTCTAGTTCTAGACCCCTGAGGAATCGCCACACTGACTTCCACAAAGGTTGAACTAGTTTACAGTCCCACCAACAGTGTAAAAGTGTTCCTATTTCTCCACATCCTCTCCAGCACCTGTTGTTTCCTGACTTTTTAATGATTGCCATTCTAACTGGTGTGAGATGGTATCTCATTGGGTTTTGATTTGCATTTCTCTGATGGCCAGTGATGGTGAGCATTTTCTCATGTGTTTTTTGGCTGCATAAATGTCTTCTTTTGAGAAGTGTCTGTTCATGTCCTTCGCCCACTTTTTTATGGGGTTGTTTTTTTTTTCTTGTAAATTTGTTTGAGTTCATTGTAGATTCTGGATATTAGCCCTTTGTCAGATGAGTAGGTTGCGAAAATTTTCTCCCATTTTGTAGGTTGCCTGTTCACTCTGGTGGTAGTTTCTTTTGTTGTGCAGAAGCTCTTTAGTTTAATTAGATCCCATTTGTCAATTTTGGCTTTTGTTGCCATTGCTTGGTGTTTTAGACATGAAGTCCTTTATAAACTTTTTAAACTTTTCTACTCTTTTGTAATAGCACTTAGCTTAAAACGTCAACACGTTATACAGCTCTACAAAAATATTTTTCTTTATATTCCCATTCTAGAAGCTTATTCCTATTTAATTATCTTTACCTTTTAATCTTTTTTGGTAAAAATAAAGACATACATTAGCATAGGCTGACACAGGGTCAAGACCAACAATATCAACCATCTTCAGCCTTCACATCTTGTCCCACTGGAAGATTTTCAGGTGTAATAACACCCATGGAGCTGCCATCTCCTGTGATAACAATGCCTTCTTCTGGAATACCTCCTAAAGGACCTGGCTGAGGCTGTTTTAATTTTTTTATATATATAGAAGGAGCACACTCTAAAATAACAATAAAAAGTATAGTAAATACATAAAACATAGCATAGTCATTTATTATCATTATGAAGTATTATGTACTGTGCATAGCTGTATATGCTAGACTTTTTATAGGACTGGCAGTGCAGTAGGTTTGTTGACAGCAGCATCACCACAAACACATGATTAATGCATCGTACTATGAGGTTATGATGGCTTCATGTCACTAGGTGATAGGAATTTTTCAGGTCCATTAAACTCTCATGGGACGACAGTCATATATGCAATTCATCATTGACCCAAACATCATTATACAATGCATGACTCTATAACACAGTGGGGTGTGTGTGTGTGTGTGTTTGTATTTTGTGTGTAAGATTAACACTGAAATTGAGGTATCAACTAGGCACCAAGGTAAAAACATATTAACTTTTCCTGTGAGGTGTCAAATTACCCCATGCAGAATTTGAAATGCAAACGACCATTGGAGGCTTAGAGGTCTTCGGGTTCAAACCGTCAGAGAATAGCTCATTTTAAACTCATCCTCCCACGGTAAACAAGTATAAAAGTCACAAAAAACATACAATGCAGTTGTGCAGCCACAAAACAGCAACCAGCACAGGACTATCACCTTTTGGAGAATGGAAGTTCCTGAAAGGGAGATTCACATCCTTATCAGCTTTCTTTCCAGAAGCATTTGCCAAAATACAATGAAGAGAAATGGAACCCAAGCAGAGAAAATCAGTCTCGTCGGCAAAGGAAACAGAGATCAGAGTTCAGGCTTGGCACATTGACTGGGATTTAGGGGTAGGGTGCTGAGGGAGGGAGTTACAGACAAGAAACCCCCAAAATCTGCACTCCTGAGCTGCATATGCTCCAGATGACACTCTAAGAAGCCCACTGGAGAACAGCTTCTTGGAGATTGCATGCTAAGTAGAAATGTCACAGGCTCCATAGTGTGAGGAGATGTTGGAATTTCAGCCCTGCAAAACCTGTGTTGAGACATCAGGATGGGGAAGCCACGTAAGTGAGGACCGTGACCTTGGAGTAAGAACCACACTGAAATAGACTCACCCTAGCAAAGGCTAAAATCAAGAGTAAGCAGAATCAAAGTGGGTCTGATTTTTACTAAAGGTGATTCTTTGATAATTACCTAACTGTCAAACTATTACCAGTCTTTGGAGGAAGATAACAAAACCCAGAGCCTCTAAAATCCATCATGTAGAATATGTGCCATGCCAAGCAGCAGAGAGAATGCAGCAACTAAAGAAGAAATAATCAACAGAAGCCAACTCAAAGATGATCTGAATATTGAAGTCAGCAAACAAGGACATTCTTCAAAATATTTATGATTAATATGTTAAGGAAAATAGAGGAAAAGATGGGCAAACTATTTCAAAATTCCCAGAAAGATTAATCATAAGAAGAGAAAAAACACAAATGAACACTATGAGAAGGGACATTATAAAACTGTAGATTTTATTAAAACAAAAATAAGAGAAAGTTAGACACAACTTCATGGAAAGAGCTTTTAAAATTTAGGTATAGTGACATGAGTTCTTGAAAAAGACGGTTGAACAAAGCCAACAGAAAACTAAGTAGAAAATATAAATAATCCTATATCCATTCAGAAATTGAGTTCTAAATACATTCCTTCCCACCAGAGAAACTCCATGCCCAGATTTCTTCACCTGTCAATTCTTTCAAAAACTTTTTAAAAGGCATGTCAGCCTTATACAGTCTTCCTCTGGTACCTTTTGGGATGGGTTCTAGGGCACCTGTGGATACCAAAATCCATGGATGCTCAGGTCCCATATATAAAATAGCCTAGTATTTGCCTATTAGCTATGCACATCCTCCCATATACTTTAAATCATCTCTAGATTACTTATAATTCCTAATGCAATGTAAATTATTTGTAAATAGTTGTTACACTGTATTGCTTAGGAAATAATGACAAGAAAAATGTCTGTACATCTTCAGTACAGACATAACCACTGTAGGTACTCCTAACTACAGAGTATACATCAGCAGCAACATAACATTTTCAATCCTAAGGTTGTTGAATTCACAGATGTGGAACTCACAGACATGAAAGGCAGACTGTGTGCTATGGTTTGGCTGTTTGCCCACCCAAATCTCATCTTGAATTGTAGTTATCATAATCCCCACGCGTTGTTGGAGGGACTCGATGGGAGACAATTTAATCATGGGGGTGGTTCCCCTCATGCTGTTCTCATGATAGTGTGTTCTCACAAGACTTCATGGTTTTATAAGGGGCTTTTTCTGCTTCGGTTTGGCACTTCTCCTTGTTGCTGCCATGTGAGGAAGGATGTGTTTGCTTCCTCTTCTGCCATGATTATAAGTTTCCTGAGGCCTCCCCAGTCATGCTGAACTCTGAGTCAATTAAACCTCTTTCCTTTTAAATTGCCCAGTCTTGAGTATGTCTTTATTAGCAGTATGATAACAGATTAATACACTGTCTTATATTTTTTAGATAATAAAGAGTAAACACCTTCCAACTAATTTTATGAGGCAACATAAGTCAGACAAGGACCTAAACATGACAATTATATTACAAGAAAAATAAACTCATCATCGAAATGATCTGATGAACATAGCCTCCAAAATTCCAATTAAAATATTAGTAAATAGAACCAAATAATATATGAAATGGATAACACATAATGACCAAATGGGATTTATAAGAGAAATACATGGTAGATTTAACTTCAAAATGTCAGAATAATCTACCCCAAAAATAGAGAAAAGTAGGACAACATGTGGTTATATCAATAGATGCAGGAAAACCATTTGATAAAGTTCAGTAGGCATTCATAATAAAAACTAAATAAACTAGACATAAAAGGGAACTTCCCTAACAGAATACAGTTATTTACAACAAAGAAATACAAAGAAATACCTAAATCTAAAGTCATAATTAACGAAGAAATATTAAACACTCCTCTGAGGTGGGGACAAGAGAAGGATGTCCACTATCATCACTTTTATTTAACATTGTACTGTGTGTCCAACAGCAAAAATAGATTACATAAGATATATGACTGTCTTCTTCAAGGAAAACATTATCGTGTATGAAGAAAATTTAAGAAGCTCTATGAACAGACTATTAAAAATAAGTGAATTTGGCAAGGCCAGTATAAAGCAAAAAGTAACATTTCTATACGTGAGTAATAAACAGTGAGAAGAACTGACATTCTTTAAATAGCTCTATGTACAATACCACAAAGAAACATAAATTGTAGAAATAAATATAAAAGTTATACAAAATCTCATCATTCAGAATTACAAAACATTGCTGAGACAAATTAAGTGGATAGTTATTTCATATATATGAGGAAGACAATATTGCTAAGATACCGTTTATCCACAAAGTGATCCATGGAGTCAATGCAATTGTAATAAAACTCCCAAGAGTTTTTTTTGTGGGAATTGACATGCTTCTTCTAAAATGTATACAAAAATGTGAGGAGCTTAAAATAGCCAGAACAATATTGGAAGAGAACACAATTGGAGGACTTAAACTATCAGATATCAACAGATATTTGAAAGCCACAGTGATTAGAAAAGTGAAGTATTTGTTCAGGGATAAACAAACAGGAAAAAATTATTAAAATAGAGCCCTCTCTATTTTCTTCTATGAGTTTTATAATTTAGCCCTTACATGTAGGTCTCTGATCCATTTTGTGTTGATTTATACATATGCTGTGAGGTAGGGTTTCAACTTCTTTGTTTTTTTTCTTTTGCAGAGACAGTGTCTGTGTCACCCAGGCTACAGTGCAGTGGTGCAATCAGAGCTCATGGTAACCTTGAACTCCTGGGTCCAAGCAATTCTCCTGTCTCAGCCCCTCAAAATGCTGAGATTGCAGGTGGAGTCACCACTTCCAGCCCCTCAACTTCATCCTTTAGAATGTGGGCATCCAGGTGCCAGCTCCATTAGATGAAGAGTGTATACTTTAACACATTGAGTTGTCTTAACACCTTTACTGAGGTTCTTTGCATATATCTCTTTATGTGTCTCTGAGCTGTTGTCTAGGGCCCTTTCATTTTAATCTGAATGACTCACATTAGTATTTCTTATAGGAAAAATCTACTGGCAATGGAATCTTTCAGTTAGTTGTTAATTAACTGGAAACATCTCAATTTCTCCTTCATTTATTTTAATTTATTAATTGTGATAAAATGCACATAAAATTTACCATCTTAACCATTTGTAGTGGTAGTGTTCAGTAGTGCTAAGAACACTCACACTGTTTTGCAAACCAATCTCCAGAACTCCTTTCATATTGCAAAACTGCATATTTTCATTTTTGAAGAATAAGTCTTCTAGATATAGAACTTTTGGTTGACAGCTTTATTTTTGTAGCACTTTAAACATGTCATACCACTCTGACTTTCCTCAGTGTTTTCTGGTATGAAATTGGCTGTTAATCTCAATGAGGATCCCTTGTACATGATGCATTATTTGTTTCTTGCTGCTGTCCAAGTTCTCTCTGCTTCTATTTCAACAGTTTGGTTATAATGTTTCTTGGTTTGGATGTCTTTGAGTTTATTCTGCTTGGTAGATTCACAGATTTTTATCAACTTTGGCAAGGTTTCACCTGTTACCCTATATTTTTACTCTCTCTTTCTATCTCTCCTCTACTTTGGGAACTCCCATTATGCATCTGTCAGTCCACTTGATGCTGTACAGAGGTGTCATAGCCTCTGATCATTTCCCTTTATTTTTTTTTCTTCCTGCTCTTCAGATTGCATAATCGTAATTGGCCTATCTTCAATTTGCTGGTTCTTCTGCCTGCTAAACTCTGCATATATTAGTCAGCATGGCGGTGTCCCACAAGTCCCTTAGGCTCTGTTCACTATTTTTTGTTCCTTTTTTCATTTCTATTCCTCAAAGTCTATGATTTAAGATGACTTGGCTTCGCGTTTGCTGATTCTTTCTTCTACCTGTTCAAGTCTGCTATTGAACATCTCTAATGAATTTTTTTTCAGTAATTATATTTTCCCTTCTAGAATTGCTGTTTCCTTATTATATTTTTAATGAGTCTTTATTTGGTGAGATATTGTTCTTCTGGTTCCTTTACATATATACATATATATATACACACACATACACATATATGTGTATATATATACATACATATATATATTTACATATATAGAGAGAGAGTCCACGGTCTTTTTTATCTATTTGAGCATATTTAAACTATTGGTTTAAAGTCTTGGTCTAGTAAGTCCAATGACTTGGCTTCCTTAGGGACAGGTTCTGCTGATGTATTTTTTTCTGCAAATGGGCCACTTTCTTAAACTTCTAAATACCTCAAGAATTTTCACTGAAAACTGAACACTTTGAATACAACAATCTAGTAACTCTGGATACCATATTCTTTCCACTCCCCAGAGTTTCTTGTTGCCACTTGAGGATGGAGTTGTTTCTTAGTGACTTTTCTAAACTATTGTTAAGCTGTTCTTTGTCATGTGTGGTCACTAAAATCTATTCTGTTAGCTTCATGGTCAGCTAGTGATTTGACAGAGGTTTCCTTAAACAGCTGGAGCCAAAAAAATAAATAATTAATGCCCTCCCAGGCTTTGCAGATGGACTCTGAGTTGGGACACTTCTTCAACACTTAACCAGGCAGTTTAGACGTCCACCTTAACCTTCACTGGCTGCTTACTTGGAGGCTAAAGATCACCCAGAGGTAAAAGCCTAAGGTCATCTCAGGTCTTTTTAAAGAATGTGGGCATCCAGGGCTAAATATCCAGTGTTTAGCCCTGGCCATGTATGTGACATTCTGATTTCCTCAGTATATGCGGGATATTTTGAAAGCCATATTGCCTTATGTATCTCCATCTCCAGCCTCTACCTCCCTAGGCTTTTCAGTCTGTCTGCTGTTAACCCATCCATCATTCCATGCCCCAGGCATCTGTGACTAGTATTTGCCTTTAAATGCTTTTGACAAACATTGCTATGGAGACCTCTCCAATCTTAATAAAGTTCCAAGAGGAGTGAAGCAAAGACCAGCCTCTAAGCTGATCTTTTTGGGGGCTATCATGCATGTCAAAGGACACAAACACAATTCTTTGAAAAGAAAGTTCATTTTGCCTTTTCTGGCATCAGGAAACTACACCAGGAATGTGGGACACCGTCCCCATGGCTGCCTCATAGCTGAGGGTGTGGGGGTGGGAGTGAGTAGGTGGCTAAGGAATAGTGGCACATGCTCTCCTACCAAAATCTAGAGCTCCTTTTTCATTAAGCACTACTTTGGTTGTTGTAAAAAAAAAAAAAAAAAATTCATAGACTCCAGAGTACAGAAAAACTTAATTTTGATAGTTTTTTTCCAGGTTAATAGTTGCTTTAGTTGGGGAATGTGTTGTTGGAGTTCTCTACCATTTTTGGTGAAGGCATTACAGTTGTCTTTTAATAAGATTTTAAAATTATGAAAAAATCTTATGTATCTACCCATGTGCTTACCATTTCTGGTGCTCTTCATTACATATTTGCTTTTGGTATAATTTTCTTTTTGCCTGAAGGACTGAAACACTTATTACAGTTCGTGTCTGCTGGTTATGTATTTTTTCACTCCCTATAAGTCTAAAATCCCTTTTTTTATAGATATCTTTAGAGTCTGTTAAGTAGCTTGATGCAATCATTACACATGGTATACATATATCAGTACATCACACAGTACCTCATGAATGTATTATTATATGTCAATTAAAATTATACATATATATATGTTTTTAAAAGGTTTTTTTTCTGGAAATAGAATCTAGTTTGACAGCAGTTGTCTTTCAGAACTTTAGCGATGTTGGTCATCTGTCCCTCATTTGCATTGTTTCCAATGAAATAACTGCTGTCATCTTTATTATTCTTCTTATGTGTTGTGTTTTGTGTTTTTCATTTTTGCTTTCTGCTTTTTCAATTTTCTCTCCTTCTCTGGTTTTGAACAAATACATGTTACTCTCACTCACAACTATAAAGCGAACTTAGGAAACAATCTATAGGGAGAGTTTGTTGATGATTGGTTATACATTTTCAGAAACAGTTGTTTATTCCTTCCTTTACAAAGGCTAATTTCCTTAGAATATTATTGTATTGAAGAATGTCATAAATAATTTTATTTGTCACCTGGACCTGGTGCCAAGATACGTGGTCAAGCATTATTCTGGATGATCTTTTTAGGATGTTTCTTGGATATGATTAACATATAAATTGCTATACTTTGAGTAAAGTAGATTGACCTCTATAATGTGGACAGGCTTCATTCAATTCATTGAAGGTGTAAATTGAATGAAACACTGACCTTCCCCAAGCAAGATGGAATTCTGTCCTGGGATTTGAACTGCAGTATCAGTCACCTGACCCATAAAGAGCTGGTTGGTTTGTGTACAGCATTTGCAAGATGAATGGACAACACCCTGTTTGGAAGTCTACCCCTTTGATCAAAGAAGATAAAAACAGAACAGCTCTTGTGGGCTGAATTGCAGGGTGTTTTCTTAGCAGTGATGGAAGAATTGAACAATGATAAAAGCTCCTATGTTTTAGTTTTACTGACTTATGGGCAGTGACTGATGGCCTGGCCATATAATTAATTAAGAAAGCAGTGGAAAACTGGCCTATGAAAAGAATGCCCATATGAGACACAGTCCTATGGAAATCACTATGGTAATTTGAGGGGTGCATTAACGTAAGACATGTTGATGCCTGATATAGATTGGATGTTGTCCCCACCCAAATCTCATGTCGAGATGTAATTCCCAGTGTTGGAGTTGGGGTCTGGTGGGAGGTGACTCAATCATGGGGTGGTTTCTCATGAATGGTTTAGTACCATCCCCTCAGTGCTGTTCAATACCCATCAGAATAACTCCCTTCCAGGTTTGGAAGGTGATTGAAATCAACAAGCATTTATCTCTAAGTGCTTGCCAGGTGCACCTGTAGTCCCAGCTATGAGAGTGTCTGAGGCAGAAGGATATCTTGAGTACAGGCATTTGGGTTTAGCCTGAGAAATATTTGAGTCTAGCCTGGGAAACATATCAAGACCACATCTCAAAAAAATTTACATTTGCTTGTGAAGATCACCGGGGTCTACGAAATAAGTAGACACTGAGGCTGTAGCAATGCAGAGATGGGCTGAATCAAGACATACTCCCCTTGCATCCCCCACCTCTAATAAGCACAAAATACTCAGTAAAACTGTTCTTTTTAACAAGACTGGGCACAGTGGCTCACACCTGTAATCCCAGCACTTTGGCAGGCCAAGGTGGGTAGATCACTTGAGATCAGGAGTTTGAGACCAGCCTGGCCAACATGGCGAAACCCTGTCTCAACTAAAACTACATCAATTAGCCAGGCATGGTGGTGCACGCCTGTAATTCCAGCTACTCAGGAAACTGAGGCAGGACAATGGCTTGAACCTGGGAGGCAGAGGCTGCAGTGAGCCGAGATGGCGCCACTATACTGCACCCAGGGCAACAGAGCAAGACTGTGTCTCAAAAGAAGAAAAAAAAAGAAGTATTCTCTTTAACAAGAAAAGAGACAGAGACAGAGACCAAAAAAAAAAAAAAAAAAACGTGAATGGGAGGTATTGCCACCATGTGGACCACTGAGCCACATTACACTAGGAAACACACTTGCCCAGAATGTCCAACAATGGTCAGAGAAATTTGTTCCTCAGAAGAAGAGTTTCAGAGAGAATTAAAATAGTCATTTGAAACATTGAGTGTATAAATCAGGAGCGGGGAGACATAAGCATGAAGGGCGGGCCTATACACCTTCATGAGTGTGCTCGCTCTTGACATGAGTGTGGACAAAGGAATGTCCCCACTAGAGAGTGTCCTCTTTTTCCCTGCTGGATCAGGGAAAGGTGCTGGTGTGATTCTACATACAATTCTTCCCTAAAAAATAATAAATAAATAAATAAATAAATAAATAAATAAATAAATAAATAAAAACAATCCTTCCCAAGGCCAGAAGACACTAGAATTATGACTATACTTTACCTCAACTTGCTTTTCTCATACCTGATGCAGTGGTCTCAGGACTAGGGATGCAAATAAAAGTCCAGGCACAGGAATTATTCCTGAGCAAGAAACCGTTAACATATTTAAAAACCATTATGCAAGACTGCCTAAGGGCCTGGAGTAGATGTGCCTTCACTGCATCTGGCAAAGTTGGAGCTAACATTGAATGCAGCTGTATTGCCTGGAAGCCAGATAGCCAACCAGTTCTCTGCCTGAATAACCCTAACCTCTATGAACTGGAATGGACTGATGGGAGACACTCGCTGTTACTAGCATGGTATAGCTCCCTGCATAGGCCAGCACAGCAGGAAAACCTAATGTCCCTTCCAAAATGAGAAATATTTGGTATAAATGCAGAAGAGGAAGAATAGTAGCTGAGGTGAAATGAATGAATAAATGGGGTATGTAATGAGGAAAATCCAATATAACATGATCTCCTCAAAAGAGGTATAAACGAATGATGATATTGTCTTTTATCTCATTTTTACCAGATGTCTGAAAGGTTGAAGCCATATGTTGCTGAGACCATTGCTATTTTTGGACTGCAATGGGCGAATTGATAATGACTAAACAGGACTCTGGTAATGGGCCAGTATCTTTTTACTGCTATGATTCTTCTGCTATAGGAGATCTGTGGTTGGCCAAGCAAAGGGGCTCACATTTATAATTTCACCACTTTGAGAGGCCATGGTGGGAAGATTGCTTTTGAGGCCAACAGTTGCAGAACAGCCTGGGGCACATAATGAGACTGCATTTCTACAAAATATTTAAAAATTAGTCAGCCATGGTGGTGTGCACCTATAGTGCCAGCTGCTCAGGAGACTTGAGGCGGAAGGATCACTTGAGTCCAAGAATTTGAGGTTACAGTGAGCTATGATTGTGCCACTGCATTCTACCCTGGGCAACAGAGCAAGACATTGTCTCTAAAATAAAATAATAAATAAATAAATAGAAATTATAAGAAGAAATAATGTGGTTAAAGACCAGGAAGTGATCTGTGATCCAATAAATATATTTGGTCTTTGCCCCTAGTCCCTGACAGGCAGGTCCTAAAACGCTTGCAGTCCCTCAGTGATAAGCATGATTTTAATATGGCAATGAGATGACTATGGGGTGAGGGGCTCCTAGATAGTTTCAGGATGGAGGCTGCTTGCCAGAAACACCAGCTGTGATTAGAGGATTGGAACTTTCACTGCCATCCCCATCCTCTGGGGAAGAAAAGGGGGCTGGAAGTTGAGCTCAGTCATCAATGGCCAATGATTTCACCAATCTTGCCTACACAATGAAACTTCCATAGACACCTCTAGACAGTGAGTTTTGGAGAACTTCCCAGTTGGTGAGCACATCCGCATGTCCACGTGCTGGGAGGACGGCACACCTCATCTCCATAGAGACAGAGGCTTCTGCGCTTATATCTTTCTGTAAGGCAGACACCCTTGTTTCTAGGAGGGACCTAGGGTGGACTGTGGATTCTTTCTCTGGGGCAAATAAAAATGTAGAATCAGAAAATTCAGGCACTTTGCACTCCTCATGGGACACTCCAGCAGCACTCACGTGACCATCCTGAGAATGGACAGGACACCTGAGGTGGGGAAGGGAGCACAGAACCCAGACACCAGCCTGGACACAGGCACCTGGGATAATCTCCTATTCCTTGGAAAGTTCCAGTATCTGAGGGAGGAACAGTGACTTCTGGTCCTGACCTGAGTGGAGACCGAGGGACTCAGAAGAGCTGGAATCAGACCCCCACACACACTGAGTATGAGTCAGAGAACAAGGCCTGAGAGAAAAAGTCACAGTGCCCAAGACTGCTGCAGGGGTCAAAGGGGACTGCTGATCAGTGTTCCAGGGATTTGCTCCAGATTAATCTGAGTCATGGAAAAACTGCCTTTCTTTTGTTTCTAAACAAATACCTGCAAAGACAAAAGACCACATAAATCCCCAGGTGCACAACTTTTTCAGATTTAAAGAAAAAACAACCCCCGTCTTTCCCTCCATTCCCAGGAGAAGCTCACTCTGTGGCATCAAGCTGCCTGGGTGAGCTCTCTTCTAGAAGAGTCCAGGGGGACAGGCAAGGAATGGGAGGCAGGAAGTCCAGTTCAGGGAGGGGGATTCTGGGATGAAAAGTGAAGGGAGAGGGACTGAGCCCATGCTGAGGGTTTTTCTCTGGTTTCTCAGACAGCTCCGGGGCCAAGATTCGGGGAGACATTGAGACAGAGCGTTTGATATAAAAGAAGGGGGTAAGAGCCAAGTCCCAGGGCCCGGAGCTTGGCTCTCTGGGCTTCAGGCCCCGAGGGCGGTGCCTGGGATGGGCCGGCTCAGCTTTGGGGTTTCCCGAGCTCCGCTCTCTCTCTTCCACCTTTCCCAACCTGTGTCAGGTCCTTTTACCTGGATACTCATGATGCGGCCTCAGTTCTCACTTCCATTGGGTGTTGGGTTCCTAGATCAGCCAATCAGTGTCGCCGCGGTTCCTGGTTCTAAAGTCCTCGCCGGCCCACCGGGACTCAGATTCTCCCCAGACGCCAAGGTTGCGGGTCATGGAGTCCCGAACCCTCCTCCTGCTGTTCTCGGGAGCCGTGGCCCTGATCCAGACCTGGGCAGGTGAGTGCGGGGTCGGGAGGGAAAAGGCCTCTGCGGGAAGGAGCGAGGGGCCCGCCCGGAGGAGTAAATCTGCACATATATTTAATTACAGATTACAATTACAATCAAGGCAGAAATGATCTCATTTTTACATTACAACTCTGGAAAAGGCAATAGACTGAGATGCAAGTGTGCCCCCAAGTGATGGGCAGAAGGAGAGAAGGTGTTTTGGATGCATTCTAGAACACAGGTAATCTAAGGAGAGTTGATCAAGGCCGTGGAAGAGTCCTCCAGCCACTATTGGCCATCAAAGGAGTCCTCTGTGTCCCAGGAATGGTCCTGCTTTGGTGTCCCTGGTGTGACCCATCACCCGCTGGGAACAGCCTGAGAGAAGTAGGGCCTCTGCACCAATGCTGCTGAGGATGTCAGAGCACAGGAACGAGGCCTTGGGAAATTACCTGGAAATGCGACTGAAATCTTCCTTCCTGAGGGGTCTGGGCTCTTGGAAATCAAACCCTCTCAGGTTGGGTGGCTGGACGATTCTCCTCACACTTACAATGGGACAAGGGGAACCAGGAGGCCCCCAAGGGGATCCCTGGGTTCCACACGAACTCCTCCTACCCTCATTGTGTGACAGCAGCCATGCCTCCTCCTGGGGATCAGGATCTATTACCTGTGCCTGGAGAGGAGGGGACTCCTCTTCTCACCCGCTGGTCTCTGGACACATACTGTCCAATTCCCCTGTGGCAGCTGTAATGTGTAGTTCAATGGGCACTCATTTGTCCCCTTTTAAGGGTACCCTCCTTTAGAATCCAGGACCTTCTACCCTGCAGAGTGTGGTTTTGGGAGAGAAGTGCAAAATCCCACGACAGGTGAGTTGAAGGAATGGGATATGGAGCCACATCCACTTCCACCCCTTGGTATCTGGACCCACGTGTTCTTCCTACTGAGATTACAGAACTGTAGAGATGTCTTTGATTTTTAAAATGCACCATGTCCTGAAAGATGGCACCCTCCCACCCGCAGAGTGCTTCCTGCAAGCTGGCGTTGAGCTGTGCCTATAGAAGCTCTTTTCAACATTCTTTATGGCCAGCAGCCCTTGGTTGGTGCAGATGGTGATAGGACCAGTGGGTCCCACAGCATGGCCACACTGCACCTCCTTCGCTGTCAAGTGGGTCCCCCACGAAGATACTGCACGGAGAGCAGTGCCAAGCCTGTGGATCAGGAATATCAACAGCCCCCAGAGAGTGGTGCTGGCTGAGGGTCTGAGAGCAGGACAGGAAAACCCACCTATGGAATAGGTGCCTATCCCTGTGAAGATGAACCTCTGGCCCTTCCAGGATGGAAGGAGTGCAATGTAGTCAACTCCTCACTTAGGGTCTGGTTGGTCACCTAAAGAAATAGAGCCCTACCAGGGAAGATCATTGGGTTCAAATGCTGATGAGTAGGACATTTAGAGGTGGCAGTGTCTGGATCTACCTTGGTAGGAGGGAGTCAGTACTGTTGGACCCATAGGTAGCCTCATCCCTGCCACTGTGTTTGCTCCATTTATGTACCCATCCTACCCGGCCTGGGCTGACCCATGGGGAAGGCTGGCTAATTTCAGTGCTTCTGCTTGGTTGTTCAGGGCCATTTCAGGTTTGGGTGTTTTCTGGGGATGTTAACATGGGATTCAGGCTCAACTCACAAGAAACTTTTCCATCTCATGATGGATGCTGTTGGGCATGTCCAATGTATGACTTCATGAGTTACACAGATGCTAATTCGTAGGGGCACTTGGAATCACATGGTTGTTTTGTGTCCCATGGTCAAGCATTCTATCTTATCAGGGCCTACAGTAACATGCCAAAAGTTGCTTCCAACATATTTCTCTGCTTTGGATGGGGCATATTTCTGTGCTGTGGATGACATGGCCTTACTCCAGAATCCCAGGCCCTCCACTGTGACTCTCCTACTGGTGCTTGGTTCAGCTCCACCCCAAATCTTACCCCACCACTGGCACTTTCAGCACCAGGGGGTCTGAAGGATGGTGACTGCGCCATGGCCTGGATCTGCTGCAGTGTCCTTTCCTGTGGAGGCTCCACTCAAAGCTGGCATCCTCCTATGTCACCTAGAGTGTGGGTCAAAGCAATACACCTACATGTAGAATGTGATGTCAGAACTCAAACAGGCTCACCAGGCAGTGTGCTTCCTTCCTTGCATGAGGATGCAAGATGCAACAGTTTGTCTTTCACATTGGAAGGGACACCCCTGGATGCCCCTAACCACTAGACCTGTAAAACTTCACTGCAGTGGCCACTTCTGAATCTCTGTAAGGTTTATTTATCTTCACCCTCTGGAGAGAAGATGTTTTACCAAAGCCTCTAGTGTACCTTCCTCCTCTTACTCATCCATCCCAGTCAACATGATGTTGTCAATGAAATAAAGGAATTTAATATTCTATAGTATATCCAGGTTCTCCAGATCTCTTAAGACTGTACTATAGAGGCCTGGGGAATTATAATAGCCCTGAGGCAAACTATGAATTAAAGTGTTGTGGATCCCACATGAATCACTTTATATCCACTTTTGTGTGTGTGTGTGTGAGGCAGAGTCTTACTCTGTCACCCAGGCTGGATTACAGGTGCACACCACCATGCCTGGCTAATGTTTTGTTTTTGGTTTTGGTTTTGTTTTTGTTTTGTTTTTGGACAGAGTTTCACTCTTTTTGCCCAGGCTGGAGTGCGATGGCATGATCTCAGCTCACCGCAATGTCCGCCTCCCAGGTTCAAGTTATTCTCCTTCCTCAGTCTCCCAAGTAGCTGAGATTAGAGGCATGTGCCACCACGCCCGGCTAATTTGGTATTTTTAGTAGAGAGAGGTTTTCTCCATGTTGGTCAGGCTGGTCTCGAACTCCCAGCCTCAGGTGATCCGCCCTCCTCTGCCTCCCAAAGTGCTGGGATTACAGGCATGAGCCACCACACCCGGGCTATATCCACTTCTAATTGGAATGGAAGGGAATGCACTCACCACATCCACAGCTGCACACTGTGTGCCTGAGGCCTTATTAATCTGCTCTACCAGATATATCCAGCCAGCATGCTAGCTGCAATCAGGACTCCTACTTGGTCACATCTGGAGTAATCCCATTCATTCCTTAGTAATCCCATTCATTCCTTAGGCTCCATCAGGCTTATTTGCTAAATTACATGGAGATAATAGGCAACCCCAACACCACCCCACATCCTCCAGCTCTCTAATGGTGGTGCTACCCCCACAGCACTTGCAGTGCCTTCCACAAGATTCACCCTGGGACATACGATCATTTTTGATTTGGCCAGAATGGAGGCAGTTTCAGAGGTTTCCCTTTGGCCTTCAGCACAATGAGAGCCCTTACTCCACAGACTAGGGATGCAGTGTGGGGGTGACTCCAGCTGCCAGGGCATCAGTGTCAATTATGCACTAGGAGAATGGGGAGATAACCAGGGCTGGGTCTGTGGACTCAGTGACCCCATGGTGAGCCGTGATGTGTCCAGGTTTATTTCGTGGTCTCCGTAATCCCCAATGTGAGGGGGTCATGATGATGCTGTGGGCCTCTGGGCATCAATGTCATCTCACACCCAAAGTCAGTACTCCCCCAAGTTCTCCCTATTTCCCTTTCCCAGGGTACAGTCTCTAAAGTAAATGGCTGTAGGTCCCTTTGCACAATGGCTCAGGGAATTGACCCAGCATACACTTGCCACAGGGTTGCAGGGTCCTTCCTCCTAGGAATATGGACACCTCCTCCGTCACTGGGTTCTGAATCTGAAGCTTGGCTGAGATCTAGGCACTGAGAATGGATCATGATTTTGTATTGGTTCAAACACCCTCAGCCTCCTGCTCCTCAATTCTTGCTTTCTTATCATAGATACCAAGCAGTGCTCTTGCTGGCTGCCCTTCTGTTCTGACCCTGGAACACCACCCTCTATTAACCTTACCCACAACTGCAGGCAGGTCAAGCCCCCTCGGCTGCTCCTCTGGGGTTGCCATGGTAACCGTGTCCTCTGGCTTTTGCAGGTCACTGCCACCACTTGTTCTCTATCTCTTCAGGGCCACACCCTCTCCGTGGATATTAATGAGCCCAACTCTGGGACATCTTTTCCTACCATCACCCTCAGCCTTCAGAGAACAATACAATGAAACTTCTTAGTGATGCAGGTCCCTGTTGCCAGCACGTTCCTGAGGCTCTGGTGGAAGGTGGGCCCCCTGGGTCCTCTTATAAAGCACGGTTCCGGTGGGCTTTCCGGCCTCACGTAATGTCTCCATCCCACAGGCCAAATTCCCCCAGCCTCATTATTCCCTCTTCTACATGTTCCGGGGCAACTAAGTCAGGTCTAGCTTGTGAGATACCGGCATCATTTTTTCCCAGTCTACATGGATCACCCCAGCAGTGGGTTTGCCCCATGCCCTGGGGTCTTTGAAAACCCATGTGATACGGTTGGCTGTGTCCCCAACCAAATCTCGTCTTGAATTTCCACGTGTTGTGGGAGGGACCAGGAGGGAAGCAATTAAATCATGGGGGCAGGTCTTTCCCATGCTGTTCTCATGATAGTGAATAAGTCTCATGAGATCTGATGGTTTTAAAAGGAGAAATCCCTTTCGCTTGGTTCTCATTCTTCTCTTATCTGCTGCCACGTGAGACATGGCTTTCACCTTCTGCCGTGATTCTGAGGCCTCCCTAGCCACATGGAACTGTGAGTCCATTAAACCTCTTTTGGTAAATTGCCCATTCTGGGGTATGTCTTTATCAGCAACATGAAATGGACTAATACATCATGCCTTGAGAAAGTGTTCCCAAGTCAAAGGATTTTTATCTATCTAGCTTGAAATTCTGTCCCTTTGATCAAATGCCCTCAAATTCCAATCCCAGAAGTGTTCCCCAGGATCCTATGTGGACATGCCAGCTAGTTCCTGCAAAGCTCCTGAGTGGAATTCCCGCTGCATTATAAGGGTGAGGCTTCTGCAGCATCTTCCAGCGTAGGAAGTGGGAACTATTACTGGAAAAGGCGAGCCTTCTCTGCATGCCCAGAGGGTACTGGAGGGCACCCATCTGATAATGCTGTCCTAGTTTGCAGAATCTCATGTTTCCCCACCAGGGCCCTGATTTTCCACAACAGGCCTGCCTTGGCTGAATGTCAAACATCTCTGGAGGTCTGTAACCCTCACAATGATATCTTCAGCTACCATTCCACACTATCTACCCTTTCGCTACAGGAAATAAGGGCCTCTCCATGAGACACTGCAGAGGCCTCACACGTAGCCAGTGACAGCTGTTAGAATCCCTCAGATTCTCATTCTCCTTTTATAGGGCATCAACACAGCTGAGCAGTAACCAGCCAGCTTCCCTGTTGTAGGTTTTCCCTCCCACCCTGTCATTATTGTGTAGAGGCTTCTATCACACCACCTGCCATAGCACCCGGTAACCAGGGCATCTTCTCAGGTCGGTGCTGGGGATATCCACAGCAGCTCAGCTGCACCTTGTGCCATGGACTTTCTCTGTCCCCAACCAACGTGGATGGCATTCTCGGCCTGCCAGGCAGTGGGCAAGCTCAGCCCCAATCCCCGTTTTTGTCTGTGTCTATGGACCACTCCTGAAGCCACTTGTGTTGGTTAGCATCCCCTGAGGAGCAGACTGCAATACAGAATTAAATGTGCCAGGATTTATTAGGGGAAATAGCCATGAAAAATTGGGGAGCAAGACAGAAAAGACTGGGAAAGCCATAAGACTGTGACGCAAGTGGCTTTTTTATTTTTATTTTTTGAGCAATCTCAGCTCACTGCAACCTCCACCTCCCAGGTGCAAGTGATTCTCATGCCTCAGCCTCCCAAGTAGCTGGGATTACATGCATGCACCACCAAACCTGGCAAATTTTTGTCTTTGTAGTAGAGGCGGGTTTTCACCATGTTAGCTAGGCCAGTCTCAAACTCCTGACCTCATGTGATCTGCCCACCTTGGCCTCCCAAAGTGCTGGGATTACAGGCGTGAGCCACTGTGCCCAACCAGACTGCAATGCAAGTTTAAACCCCAGTGAAGGAGAGAGGGAAGGAAGTTTGGCTGAAAGTATCCTAGACCCAGTGCAGGTTAAGAGAAGTTCAGTAAGGGTGAGCCCTGGAGCCTCAGTGGGCCTTTAAAGGAGGGACAATCCTGTCTTTGTTTCTCCTCTTCTCTCAATTATTGAATCGAAGAAGCCAATGGCAAGTATGGTCTGAGAGCAAACGTAGCAATAGATTTCAGGCGGCAACAGCTAGAGCATCATCAGTTGTGCTTCCTCTAGCTGAGGGGCTGGGATGTGCATTCTCAAGACTGCCACAACAATCCAGTGGGGAGAAAGGACAAAGGGTAATGATCAAAGAGAAAAAAAGGTATGAACTGATGAACTGATACCTTTAAGTAGATGAGAAGGATGATGTTTGGGACACCAGTAGAGGGACTGGCTCTGGCTGGGAGTGGGAAGGTTAACCCACAACAACCATCCATGTGGTAGAAGACCCAGCATGCAGTGCAGCTGCAAATGCATGAGCAGATGGAATCTGTGAAATTGTCTTCTAGTGTGTTCAGCTTTCTCAGTGAAGTAGGAAGCAAGGTCATCAGCTGAAGTAAGAATGCAGATAGAAGGTTGGATGTGTGAGCAGAGAGAAGGTGTGTGAGAGTCACCCAGACCAGTAGGAGGCTGAGGGTGAGCCATGCTTGGAGAGGGTGATTGCTGGTCGTGGTGGGGGGTCCCCATGAGGTTTGGGTCATGAAGTTAGAGAGAGAAGTCAGCATGCTGTGTGCTGCTTTCCAGCCTCCTTCAGCTCATGGGGGCAGGTGCAGCGTAGGCAGAGGTGGATTCCACCAGCTGTGTAGTTTTGCCAAACAAGTATGGCAACGCAAGGGAGGGGCAAGGGAGGGATGGAAATTATTTACAATAGAATTCAAAATGGCTGAAGAGGGAGGAGAGGACATCAAGGGTGAGGGACAGTGAGTAGATGGCAGGATCACTGGATTGGGAATCCCAGAGTGGGTGGAAGGATTGTTGGAATTGATGTACTACAGGGCAGACTCCAAGCCTGGAAAGCAGGCACATAGGCAATGAGTGGTTCACTGATATTACATCACAGCATATGATAAAATGATAGTATAAGTATCCTCAGAGCCTGTGGCCTCCGTGCAAGGGGATGAGTGGAAAGATGGTCAGAGAATGGGAAGTGTGAGATAGAGAGTATGGAAGGGCTGGGGTTCTTGGCCATGATGAGACCTAGGACTCTTTAGGGGAGAACAACAACAAAGCAACAGGATCCTGGTGTCAGGGACAGACCATGGCCATGGCGGGATGATAGCAGCTCTCCTACGAAATAACGCTTATATGACAAGGGCATGAGATTCAGGCAGAGAGAGGAGAAGGTCATGGAGGAGAGGAGTCCCAGCATCTGAGAAGCCAGAGGGCGATGCATCCTCTCTGCTCTATGGGTGTTTATTGCTGCCATAAAAATTAACACAAAACAAGTGGCTTTAAACAGCATCTCTTTATCATGTCACAGTCATGTGTGTTACAATTTCAACAGTCTCATGGGGCTAAAATCAAGGTAAGGGGAGGTCTGTGTTCCTTCTGACTCTGAGGAAAAATCTACTGTCAAGCTCATTCAGGTTCTTGTCTGAATTCACTTCCTTGCAGATAGGACTGAGATCCCCACTTCCTTGCTGGCTCCTGTCCAGGGGCCACCCTTAGCTCCTAGAGCCCTCTCTCAGTTCCTCATACATATCCCATGCAACATATCCAATCCTCCTGCTTGGAACCTCTGACCTCCCCCTTCTGCGGTGTCTCCTCTGCCTTCCTCCTCTGCAGAATCTGACTCCAGCCAGAGCAGCTTCTCTGCTTTTAATGGCTTGTGAGATTTGATCGGGCCCACACAGATAGTCCAAAATAATCTTGCAATTTTAAGGTCCTTAATCTTCATCACATCAGTATTTTCCCTTTTGCCATGTAATGCAACCTACTCGTGGGTGCCCAGGATTGAGATTGGATGTCTTTGGGAACCATTACTCGGCCCATCACATCTGAGTATGTTGAAGTCACCGAGGATCAAGGAGACAGCACTGCTGGAGAGGGCGATAGTGAACCAGGAACTACAAGAGTCAGGACTGAGAGGAACGGCCTGGGGCCCACAGGGAATGGCTGCAATGAGGGGAGTGGGGCCTGAATCTGATGACAGCTTTGGGGGCTTAGGAAGGAAGGAGGCAGAAAGGTCTGAGAACCACAGTGAGGAGTGAGGATGCCACCCCACCTCTGGGCCAAGGGTACAAGGTCCCTGTGCAAACTCCCCCATGTGGGAGGACTTTGGAAGGGACCACATCCTCTGGCAGACACAGACATCGCTGGAGCTGTGAGGTCCAGGAACATCCTGAGACAGGATGTGGAGGTTTTGCTGATCATGGGCTGAGAATTCCAAGGGGCACAGCAGGAAGACTTCTGGATTTGGGAATGGGGTATGGGGAGACAAAATAGGGGTGTGCAGAGCTTTGTGGGGATGTGAATGCAGGGTGTTTGGGGGACCCAGTGTGACTGACACAAACAGGGAAAAGGCATGATGAGCTCAGTCCTGGTGGACTCAAGGCAGATGATGGTGCTGAGGCTGTGGGAGATGAGGGAGGAGGCTCAGGGGTGGCTTTCACCTGGGCTCTGTCCATGGAGGTGAGGACAGGGAGATAGTTGGGCCTCAGTGCTGTGTGGACCCTTTCTTGTCTCCCTGAGGACTGGATGGAGGGCCTGGAGGAAGAGGGGTCTTAGAGGATTCACTCTTGTCCCTGAGGGAGGGGGGCTCACTCCAGGTCTCAGGTCTGCACTGACACATTTGTGTGTGGCTTGGGGCTGCCTGCTATAAACTACTGGGGGTTCGTCCATTTTGGAGTTATAACCTAAGGCAGAAACTCAGATGGTTCAAATGTCCTTTTCATGAAGCAATGTTATTAGCGTATCATTTAGATTGTCTTGCAAGAGTCTCATTTGTTGTTTTTCTAAATGCCTGCCAATATTGTTTGAAAATTTACAAATGTGATAAATGTATCTTCAAAGTTAACTGGTTGCAGGTTGTTTAACCTTATATGTACAGTTTCACATATGTATAAAAACAGTAGTTTGGGCCTCTTATATTCTAATAATTAAGACTTTAAGCTGTGTACACATTGCAATGCAAGTATGCGTCATGCATAACCCTAGCACTAAGAGTCAAGAGGGAAAGTACCTCTCCCCTAACATTTTACAAAGTTTCTGGGTTCTTTTTCCACTGAGTGGGAACAAGTCAGCTAGTGAGGAACATGAGGCCTTTGGCCTCATCTAAAGATACTTTAGCTACCAATTGTGAGAAGCACTGACCACCGGGAAGGCCTCCCTGCCTGGTTCCTGGACCTCTATACCATGGCAGAGGCCATCTTCCCTCCTAGTGCAGAGTGATGTCCCAGATAGTGACCTGGTTAGCCATTGTCCACTCTCGGGCAGTTTTGCCTTCTAAGACATGGGTTTTTCTCTGAGGACCTCCCTGTTTTCAGATGATCAAAACTGGGGCCATCCACTCCCTTCTGAACCACCTCTGCCCAGTGGCCTGTGGCTGTGCCCCCAGTCACAACAGGACACGCCTTCAGAACACGCTGCAGGAAGCCGACATCTCTACACAGGCTCACACATGCACAGTGTGTGCACGGAGCTTTGGTTCTAGTTCAGGAAGAATGGGAGGAGGCTCACTAGTCCAACAGAGCTTGAGCCCTGTACCAGTGTCATATTCCAGGAGCCAGAGTTACAAGGGATACAAAGTGCCCAGACCTACCAGAGAAGGCAAACCCCTACAGTATGCAGGGCTAGACAGGGGCAAGAAACAAGGTCATTCTGGGCCAGCAAGAAGAGGGAAAGGGAAATTACAGTCATACTTCAGATACATTGCAGGTTTGGTTCCAGACCATGGCAACAAAGCAAGTCACACAAATTTTTCAGTTTCCCAGTGCATATAAAAGTTATATTTACACTTGACTGTAGTCTCTTAAGTGTACAATAGCATTATGTACAAAATGAACTATGTACATACCTTAATGTAAAACTACTTTATTGCTAAAAAATGCTAACAATCACCTGAGGCTTCAGCTAATCCTAACCTTCTTGCTGTGGAGGGTCTTGCCTCAATGTTAATAATTGCTGACTGATCAGAAGGGTGGTTGCTGAAATCGCTGTGGCAATTTCTTAAAATAACACAACGAAGTTTGCAGCAAGATTATTCTCCTCACTTGGACACTTAGAGGCCATTGTAGGGTTACTAATCGGCCTACCTTCAATATTTTTGTGTCTCACAGAATAGGGAAGGCCGGGAGAGAGAGAGAGAGTCAAGAAACCAGCCAGTTGGTGGAGAAGTCACAACATACACAACATTTATCAATAAGGTTCACCATTTTATAAGGGTGTGGGTCATGGTGTCCCAAAACAGTTACGAGAGTAACTTCAAAGATCACTGACCACAGGTCACCATACAGGTGTAATAATGAACAAGGTTGAAATACTTCAAGAATTACCAAAATGTGACACAGAGACATGAAGTGAGCACATGCTGTTGGAAAAATGGTGCCAAATAGACCTGCTTGACACAGGGTTGCCACAAACATTCGGTCTATAAATAAAAAAGCAAGAAAAAAGAAAGAAAGATGGAAAGAAAGAAAAAGCAAAGGAAAAAATGCAGTGTCAGCAAACAGTAATAAAGGAAAGCACAGTGGAAGGTGCACCTGCAAAGGGGAAATCAGCACTGAAGCAAAGTCAGGAAAAGCTTTCAAGTCAGATGGGCCTGGACCTGGGCATGAACCCTCCAGGTCCTCCCACCAGCCAGCTGAAGAGGCCTGAGCACATCTGACCCAGAGCTGGCCCCGACAGACACTTGCCCAGTGAGTGAGTGCTGAATGAAACCATCTGAGCCAGTTTCCTCACCTGCAAACCAGTGACATAATTCCTGCCTTGCAGAGTTTCAGAAGAATAAGTGAGAAAAGACACAGTGCCAAGAGAAACAGACACAAGACCTGTGGCGGGCTGGACACCAGGGCTCTAAAGCAAGTTCTGCCTAAACTGGCGAGAACATTTTTCAGGTCAGGAACAGGAGTTGTTCTGGATTCTGTCTGGGGTCAGGCTGGGAGGGAGCTGGGGGTGGCAGAGTAGGATGGGGGCAAGGGCTGTGGCAGGGCCTGGCACTGAAGTGAGGCCAAAGCCTGGAGAGAGTGGCTCCTGGTGGCTTTTGGGCAGCTCACGCAACTTCCTGCCTCACCCACTGTGTGAGTCAGCGTTCTCTAGAGGAGCAGAACTAATAGGATGTATGTACATATGTAAGGGAGTTTATTAAGGAGAATTGACTCACACGATCACAAGGTGAAGTCCCACGACAGACCGTCTGCAAGTTGAGGTGCAAGAAAGCCAGTGATGGATCAGTCCAAGTCCCAAAACCTCAAAAGTAGGGAAGCTGACAGTGCAGCCTTCAGTCTGTGGCCAAAGGTGTTTGGCTGCAGATTCCAGGACAGGACCTTCTTGTCCTCTGCAGTGACCCCCCACCTCGCCTGACTATATCTGTCCAACTTGATGGTGCCACCGAGGGTTCTGATGCAGGGAAGGAGCTGTGTGCTCTGTGTGGGAGGATGCCTTCTGCCTTTCTAGCTGGGCCTCAGGTCAGGGCTATGAGCCTGAGCAGGGAGAGGAGATGGAAGGGAGATGGCCTTGGAGCAAACGTCTGCCCCTGCCAGTGCATCCCGTAGGTATCATCCCATCCACCAGTGCCTTGGCAGGACCCCACTCACTCAACCCTCCCCCTGGTGGTAGTCCCTGGTGGTGCCTCCTCAGGACCTCCTGCCTCCAGCCGCACAAATCCCCAAGAATGGCACGTGGGTACAAGGGTGTTGGGAAGTGTCATCCTCCAGTGCTGACTTGAGTGTGTGTGTGTGGCTGCACACGTGTGTGCATGTGTGCACAAGTGGGAATTGGAGTGTGTGTACACGTGTGTAAGTGTGAGTGTGAGAGTGGAGCATGAATGTGCAGGTGCCCACAGGCAGCAGTTGGGGTGCCAGTGTCCTCACTCCTGCCTGCTTTCCTTTCTCTCCAAAACGTGACCACACAGCAACTTAGTGACTATCTAGATTTAAGTCTATCAAACAGAAGGGAAACACAACTAGGATTCCTGTAGTGTAGGGAAGGGAAATGCCTAGCCCAGCTCTCTGATTCCCCTTTTAATGGGTTTGAGCTGCAATATGGGTGCAGAAGAGCCTCCCACAGCGCCACTGGTGGTGGAGGAAATAGCCCCTCTCATTGGCCCATTTTCACGCTGCTGATAAAGACATACTGGGAAGAAAAAGAGGTTTAATTGGACTTACAATTCCACATGGCTGGGGAGGCCTCAGAATCATGGCGGCAGGTGAAAGGCACTTCTTACATGGCAGTGGCAAGAGAAAATGAGGAGGAAGCAAAAGCGGAAACCCCTGATAAACCCATTAGATCTCGTGAGACTTACTATCACAAGAATACCACGGGAAAAACTGGCCCCAGTGATTCAGTTACCTCCCCCTGGGTCCCTCCCACAACATGTGGGAATTCTGGGAGATACCATTCAAGTTGAGATTCGAATGGGGACACAGCCAAACCGTATCACTGGATGAGAGCAATTAGATTGATGTCATGATGTATATGGGTCCATGGGAACTTGAAAAAGTCTTTCCCCTTCCACCTAGTTTAACAAGATAAACAGGAAAGGAACTTCCCTTAAGGGAAGATATTGACTCTATCCCTGAAATTAAATCACAAGGAAATAAGAAATGCATGAGATCTAAACTAAGCCATTTGGGTAAACTGTCTCAGAATTTAAAGCATCTGCAGTCACAAGCTATCAGTATCAGTGACGATTCTTTCACTCCATGGTCTAGTCCAACGAGACTGGTCAGGGCTTGCCGCCTGCTCCTCGGTGCTGTCCTGGTACTTTGAAAGTATCTGTGATTCTGTGAACTGCACCCCCAGCTGCCCAACAACTTCCCTTTGCTGATCTGAGCCAGACTCTGCTTTTATGGCTTACACCCAAATAATTCAAGTTATTTTTAAAAAATAATAATAAATCAAGTTATTCATTTATGAGTTATACAGTCCCATGTGGGGAAAGGGAAGGAGAGTGAGGTAATACTCAATTTTACTACCTGCTATGCATTTATAAGTGAGATACTTCTTTTTAAAGTCATATTTTTGGATTAGAACAAACTCTGGTATATTTAAGTAAATTCCCTGAAGAATGTGAACACCGTAAGCAGGTGAGTGCATTATTCTCTGCTTCCCCTCCACAGAGCTGTGGTTCACTCTCCTCCATCCTGCCCCCTGCACTGGGGGCACCACAGAGACAGCACGGCCTGTGCTCCTGCACCACCTGCTTCTGCTTGGGTGTGGATGATAACAGGCACCTGCAGGAGATGGGAGCGTGGGGGGAGAAGTAACTCAGGGTTTTCACTTCCCTCACTCCCTTTGGACAGCTCTGCGGTTCTGTAATCATTGCCGTCCTCTACCTACAGCCACAGGCCTGCGGGGCTGCCCCTAGTGAAAGCTACAGATTTCCGTGAGTTCTGGAAACTGCTCCCTCTTCCTTGTTCTTTCAACTCAGAGATGGAAACAGTTTCCTGCCACTGATCATCCCAGGGAGCTTCAGCACCCCTTGTGGCTTTCTTAGGCCTGCCAGCACCTCTGTAATGTGTGTCTTCTTTCTTTGTCATCTCTTTCCTGCCAGGACCCTGACTGTCCCACAGAAGAAGTGACAAGAATTTATTTATGACATGACAATAACACATGTATTCATGGTGTTAATTCGATTTGTTTCATAGAGACAGGGTCTTGCTATGTTGCCCAGGCTGGTCTTCCACTCCTGGCCTCAAGCAATCCCCCTGACTTGGACTTCCAAAGTGCTAGCATTACAGGTGTGAGCCATTGTGCCCAGCCCTTAACTTGAAAATCTGACAGTATAATAAAAGAAAAAAATAGAAGTATTCTGGAAATGGAAGAGGAAAGAAGGCTAAGGTGGAAATCATCAATCTGTGTCATCTGAGAAGCCCCACGTGCAGAGGCTGTCCCGGGACTTCAGGGGAGAACAAAAACAAAGCACCCAGGATCCTGGTGTCAGGGACAGAGCATGGCCACGGCGGGATGGTAGTGGCTCTCCTATGAAATAATGCTCATAAACATCCCTTGTGAGAAGGATCAGATCAACATATAAAAATATGCCAAATAAAGTGAAACTCAAGGCAGGAGTGGGACTGGCCATTCTCAGCCCGCGACCTCCATGGACTTGGAGAAAGGCTCAGCCTGGAGATGTGTGAGGCCTCCGACCTGGAGCAGCACCCGCCCCTAAAGACCAGGCACAAATCCCAGCACATGGAGGGATCCAGACAAATACACAAGAGATGACCACAGCAGGAGCTTTACTGGGCACAGAGCGAGGCCGCACACCACTCAGCTCCTGCCCCTCCACCTGCCCTTCTCTCCCCACCTGCCCCTGCCCCAGCACAGCAGATCCTCAGAATCCAAAAAGAGAACCTAACTTCCATGTTTTATTAATGGCTTATAATATTTTATCACATCTTCAGAAAACACTATGCAGAAGATAACTGTAGAGCAAGACATCTATTTAGGGTGAGTGAGTCACAGTGGAGATCTGGGAGGGAGACCCTGTAACCCTTTCATTCCAAGAAAAGAAAGGTCGATCCAAAGAAGGGGACCCCAGGCCTGGATATTGGGATTACATGAAAGGGGTTCTGGGGCATCAGGGGAATGGGTCCCTCTCCCTACATCCTCCCGGGGCTGTGCTTGGGAGGACAGCAGCTGGGGGAAGAAAAGTCAGGGTCCACAGAGATATAAGGGGGCTGAGAACTATCTGTGTCTTGCTGGTCTGCACAAGGCAGCTCTCAAACTGTGGAGAACATGGTAATGACCAGATTCAGCTCAGCCACTCTCAGCCTTTACACCTAGAGCATTATGGGCAGCCCATCACCATCCCCTACCTTCAAATCCAAAGATCGCTACAGCCCAAAGCTGCTCCCTGGCCTCAACTCCTGTTGGTATCAGGCCCCAAGGAAGCTGTGAGCACGTCTGCCTGGGACCCTGTCACCATCTGGAGAATGACAATAAAGAGGACCCAGCAGCCTGCAGGAGGAGACTGTATTTGAGGCAGGACCATGGGATGGGTGAGGCACAGGACTGTGGCTCCATCCTCTCTATTTGAGGAGTTAGAGATGAGCTGCCTCTGCCACCCCTTCCATGGTGATATTTCTAGAGTACACCCCTGTGCTGAAATTCTTATGAGGAAAGAGACCTGATGAGATGCTATGGTGAAGAGGGGCCATAAGGGTCTTGAATACCAAGTTAATTTTGCTACCAGCTGAGATTAGGAAGTGAAACCCAGGACCCAGGAGAGGAGGAGGAGGAGATAACACAGGACCCTGTGATCACTCTCCTGGCCATCTGTGTACAGTGAGACGCTTCCCTTCAGGGTTGGGAGCACCCAGTGTCATGGTCCTGAGTGTTGCTACCCTGCTGTTCTCATCTGTGAATGCAGCCAGACCACTTTCTTCCTCTGATATAAATAACTTGGAGGATCTGTCACCAGACACCTCATATCTACATATTAATAAATTCTGTACAGTGGTTTGGCTTAATGTTTTATATGTTATAAGAAATAAGCAAAACATAGGGATGATATTTTTAGTAAAGGTATTTCAGGGTATATGAGAATCAGATTCCTAGGGCCCTGGGTACCTCATCTTGCTGTTTAAAGTCCTCATGGAGGATCAGTGGAGTGCAGAGCCCAGAAATCATCCTGAAGGCTGAAGCTCCCTGGTGAAAAGGACCCTCTCCTGCACCCTGGGGCTCAGAGGGAACAACAAAGCTCCCTCCCAGGGTCTCCAGCCTCTGGCCTATACTGTCAGCCTGCACTTTCTTGGCCTTCCTGGCTGCTAATATTCCAGTTCCCAGCAGCCTCCTCTCTCACCCTTCACCTCTTCTGACTGGGTGCGAATGGTAACTAGACCAGGCAGTGCCCTCCTTGTCAGTCTGCCTGTCTGCCTGGTTCCCTCTCAGAGTTTGTGTCTTCACTCGGTTCATCATCCCCAGCCCCAGCAGGAACAGGGAGAAGTGACTTGGCAAATGCCCCACTCAAAATGGGATCCCTCAACCAGAGACCACTTGTGAAAGTCAGTTTTCCCTGACTAAAGAAACAGGACATTTACCCTGTTAGAAGTTGATGTCTGCCAGAGACCTCCACCTGGGAAATGCTGGTTCATGGCAGGGTCTCTCTTTTAGTAAAGGGAAAAATTCCTGGCTAATTGATAGCTAATAAGTCATTTAGAATCCAGTTCATGTAAAAGGATTACCTACTTAAAGGATTAACTCCATTATAATAAGGACACACATCCCACACCGCACATCCAATGTCATTTGTGAGATTGCTTTGATTCGCTCATGTAGAATGTTACTCTGCTGCTTTGCAGAGAGGCTTGCCACACATTTCAAATCTCTGCTCCTCATTTCACACCATCTGGCTCATGAGGTGAAGGTGATGAGAAGTGTCTTCAGACAATACTCCGAGGTTTGTCTATCAGAGTCATAGTCATATATTACATATAGAGATTATTTTCTTAGAAGTTGTAATTTATTGATATGTATTTTACTCATGGCATAGATAGATACTATCCAACAATTCGTTTTTATTACCTCTACATTACACTGCTTAGGTAGCCACTACTGGTACCTCTGCATTTTCTTTCTTGTATGTGACATTAACGTATAAGATTGTATGTACATGGTGGCTTGGTTTCCAGGAATTGCTGATTAGGTAATTTAGACCATTCCTTCCACTGAGTACAATGGGAAAAGGAGGAAAACATACATATTTGAAAAATCTGGTTGAGCAAATGGTTGGGCTAACAAAGCAGTGAAGATTTGCCTGGCCAGGAACCAGGAGAGGGGAGAAATCCAGAAGAGCAACTTGAGCTGTGGGGCTGCTTTTGTGGATCAGAGGCAGTAACACCTGCTCCCTGGCCAGAAGCCAACTTCCAGGATTCAGGACTCAGAATTCAGAACTTAGACGGTCCCTTGGTCTCTCTAGAATTCAGTGCTCATTTAGACCGGGCTAAGACCCTCACACTCAATGGCTGGAGGATCCAAGCTTATGGCATGACTGCCTCTGGAGCATTTCATGCTAGAGAGATCCCAACAGGTGTAGGTAAATGGTCTAGAGGGTACTAGCCAGGCTTCCATGGAACTCTGTGTAAGGCACTTCCCTGTGTTGTTACTCATGTTGGCCATGTCCTCGGGAATTTAGTGGAACGGCCATGTCGTCTTGAGTGGAAGTGAGGACGGTGAGGGGGTCCCTGGGCAGTCAGAGATTTTGTGTCCCTGCGTCCTTTCCTTCCATCTCAACCAGAGACCACTTGTGAAAGCCCAAGAACAAATGTCATTAAATGTCCGAGGCGAATCCAAGACCACCGATCCATTGTGCCCAGGAGCCTTGGGCCATGTAGCCCAGCAGTAGTGAGGTCTGTGAGGCCTTGGTCACCCCCAAAGTGTTGCCCCAAGAGGAGCTGCCACTCGTTGCCATCAGGCACCTCAGGAGCTGGACATGGTATTCATTATAATTTCTGATGAGGAACTAGAGAGGTCTCATAGCATATAGACCTTGATCAAATTGGGTCATGGTGGAGTCAGGCAAAACTCTGCAATGACTCACAGGTACCTAAGTATAAAACAAAGTTTCAACTCAGAGCATCCATCAGAGCTTCAGGCTCAGTAGTCATTCCTTTATGCTGTTGCTGTGTTTGTACTGTGATAACTGGTGCTTGAAGGGAGGACATATAGTTACATGTTGCGGGAAAACACATGTCATTAGAAAACTTGGCATGATTTAGGGACCATTGCCTTTTCCATGGTAGATGTGGGACTCTCTGTCATCTTCACCCTGTTGTTCCAAGTGCAGAAGAGAAAGCTTCTTCCTGCTTTCAGCTGCGTGACTGACAACGGAAGCTGGAATTCAGAGAATCAGTGGCAGCCTCTGTCTCTCCAGGCCCCAACCCTGCAGGTTTAAGGAATGGACTTAGGTCTCTGGCACTTTGTTCTCAACACACATTTTCCTTCACTCATTCAGAAAAAAAAAAAATAATAGAAAATGAACCAAAGGCTGCAATTCTCATGGCACCTAGAGAACTGGAGTACGGACCAAGGTTGCCACATGCCTGTCATTGCTCCACCACACTCGGTTGCCGTGTGACCTCGGGAGAAGCTCTCTACCACTAGGGACTTTTAAACTCATCTGTGAATCCTGGATAAACACAGACATTCCGGTAACCTTACTGAAATGAAGTGAGGACCAATGAGTTGACAGGTGGAGAAAAATTTTTTTTTTTTTTTTATTGAGACGGAGTCTTGCTCTGTCACCCAGGCTGGAGTGCAGTGGAGCGATTTCGGCTCACTGAAAGCTCCACCTCCTGGGTTCATGCCATTCTCCTGCCTCAGCCTACCGAGTAGCTGGGACTATAGGCGCTCACCACCACACTCGGCTAATTTTTTGTATTTTTAGTGGAGACGGGGTTTCACCATGTTAGCCAGGATGGTCTCGATCTCCTGACCTCGTGATCCGCCCGCCTTGGCCTCCCAAAGTGCTGGGATTACAAGCGTGAGCCTCCGCGCCCGGCCGCAGAAACAGAAAAATTTAAGTGATGGCCTTTACTCCTAGACAGGGCTTTTTTAGGAACATGCACCTTAAATGTAGGAGGAAAACATAATGCCAGCAACACCCTGCCTAAAAGCCCCTTTAGTGATGATAATTATCATTCATCTTTCTATAAAAGTACAGCAAGACTTTCTACCTCAATATCTCAAATCAGTTAAATATATCTTCTGATCATATACCAGTGTGGACCCACATGTTTTGCTCCAAGTGAAAATGAAAAGGAATGAGAACATCTCCACCTTTGTGTGGTGACCATGGGACCACGGAGGCTTGGAAGCCAGCCTACATCTGCCCAAACTCTACATCACCTGCCATTGTCAATTTTCAATCTATCCGTTCTATGCTTTGGAATCCTACATAATTCATACTCTTGAAAAATCTCATTTTCATATGTAGGGCAGGGTAGAAAAGGTGATATCTCTGTTTTAATTTGCTAAGACTTCCATAATAAAGTGGCACAGACTGGGTAAGTTAAACAGTAGAAATGTATTATCTCCCAGTTCTGGAGGCTACAGGTCCACGATGGAATGTATTGCAGGGCTGATTGCTCCTGAGGCCTGTCTCTGGCTTACAGATGGCCATCTTCTCCCTCTATCTTGTCAACATTGGCCTCAAAATATGTGTACAGGGACACAGTTTAGCCCATAAGAGTCTGCGCCATCCTTGGCGGTGCATATTATAAGAAATAAAAGAGAATACAACCCTTTGGCTGGACTCTGTTGATATTTTGAAATGTTGGTCTTGCAATAAGAACACCACCAAAGGCCAGGCGCAGTGGCTCACGCCTGTAATCCCAGCACTTTAGGAGGCCGAGGCGGGCGGATCACGAGGTCAGGAGATCGAGACTACCCTGGCTAACACGGTGAAACCCCTTCTCTACTAAAAATACAAAAAGAAAAATTAGCCGGGCGTGGTGGTGGGTGCCTGTAGTCCCAGCTGCTCGGGAGGCTGAGGCGGGAGAATGGTGTGAACCCAGGAGGCAGAGCTTGCAGTGAGCCAAGATCTCGCCACTGCACTCCAGCCTGGGCGACAGACCAAGACTCCATCTCAAAAAAAAAAAAAAAAAAAAGAACACTACCAAAACAAGGGAGCCGAAGTTTAGTTTTCCCTGGAAGGTGAGCACTCCCTCAGCCTGGCCGCCCCAGGGCAGCAAGACCCAGTGCTATGTAGTTCTCCAAAGTCCTATTTACTTTAGTGATTCTGATTCTGTATTTTTAACTGGGAAAAGGATTCTCTTTCAGGAAAGCAACCACTTCTGATGCTATTTAGGTATTATTCTCCTTATACTTATAGGAGAAAAAATTGATGTTAATGAACAGGAAATATTTGCCAAATTATCACACAAATAATTTTTGTATCATTTTAAAATACTCCTTATTGTACTGAGCTTGTGGTATTTTAATAAAAATTATTGGCACATAATATTTATACATACTTTGGGTTACACATAATATTTTCATGCATGTGTAGAATGTGAAATGATCGAGTCAGGATATTTAGGATACTCATCACCTCAAGCATTTATCAGTTATTTGTGTTGGGTGAATTTCAAATCCACTCTTATAGCTATTGTGAAATACACAATACATTGTTGTTAACTACAGCCAGCCTGCTGTGCTATCGAATATTAGAATTTATTCCTCCTATTTAACTGTATCTTTGTACCCATTAAGCTACCTCGTTTTATCTCCCAGATCCCCCACACACCCTTCCCAGCTTCTGGTAACTATTATTCTACTCTCCACCTCCATAAGATCAACTTTTTTTCAGTTCTCACATGTGAGTGAGAACATGTGATATTTGTCTTTCTTTGCCTGGTCTATTTCACTTAACATACTGACCTCCAGTTCCATCCATGTTGCTGCTAGTTATTATGAGGTAGTTCTAGCTGGAAGAATAGAGAATTAAAAGAAATCTTTGTGAAGCCCCTACCCAGGTTTGTCAATTTGTAACATTTTAATATTATTGGCTATATGTAGTATACATAGAAAATAATAGAAATATATGCAGATAGCCCTGATTCTCCACAGTTCTGTTATGTATGTGTTTCCGCTGAAACACATACAGTACAGTACTCTATGTACTGTACAGTACTACTGTACTGAGTACTGGACTGCCAGTGGGGAGTGGCGGATGTCTTGAATTTGGTGAATGCCTTTATATTGCTACAAAGTGTTTTTTTTTTTGGTTGTTTGTTTTGAGACGGAGTCTCGCTCTGTCGTCCAGGCTGGAGTGCAGTGGCGCGATCTCGGCTCACTGCAAGCTCCGCCTCCCGGGTTCACGCCATTCTCCTGCCTCAGCCTCCCGAGTAGCTGGGACTACAGGAGCCCACCACCACGACCGGCTAATTTTTTTGTATTTTTAGTAGAGACGGGGTTTCACTGTGTTAGCCAGGGTGGTCTCGGTCTCCTGACCTCGTGATCCGCCCGCCTCAGCCTCCCAATGTGCTGGCGTGAGCCACCGCGCCCGGCCTATAAAGTTTTTTAAATCCTTTCGTTTGACATGATTTTAGACTTTGTAAAAATTGTTTTTTGTTGAATGTATCATTCTGTGGCTTGCTTTATCGTTTAATATGGTCTATGAGGTGAACCCACACACCCATAGAAACAGTTCATTTGTTTTCAGTGCTGGATAGTATTTATGAGACGAATATCCCACAATTTATCTCTTCTCCTGTCCGCGACCTTTAGCTTGTTTCTGTTACAGACACTGCCACAATGAACATCCTGGGTCATCTCTCTCTGGTCCCCTGTGTGAGTTCCCCAAGATACGGATGTAGGAATGGGATTACTGTGCTTTTACCATATGATGTTATAGGATGTCAAATTGTTCTCTGAAGAGGTTGTATCAACTCCCCCCTTTAAAATCTTCTTTGACATTTTACAGGTCAAGTTATCTTCCTCCCCAACTAGCTGCTCCGCCTCAGTCCCCCTTCATTGGCTCCTTTTGCTGTAGATGCTGGAGCACTGTGGGGTTTTACTGCCTCCCAATCACTCTAGTGTCCTCCACTCCCAGGATTTTAAATATCGTCTAGACACAGATGGCTCCCAAATATATATCTCTACATATTTCTATAATCAAAAAACTAATGGTACCAAAACAGGTACTCTGATATATTGCAGATGGGCCTGCAAACTGGAAATGTTTTCAGGAAAGGCAGTATGGCAATTTCTGTCTAAATTAAAAATGCATACACCCAGTAGTCCCACTTCTAGAAATGTGTCCAAAAATAGACCTGCATTCCTGAAAAATGACTGTATTCAGAATTATATGTTGCAACCCTGTTTGTAAAATCAAAAAGGAAAGAAGAAAGAAAATGAAAGATAAAAGAAAAAATAATCCAAATGTCTGTCACTAGCGGACTAGTTAAAAAAGCATTGCAAGCTGGGCACAGTAGCATTCACCTGTGAATACACTCTACTCCACTCTGGGTAACATGAGGAGGCCTCCCTACCTTCCTAAGAAAACCCAAACAAGCACTGCATATCTACACGGCGGAGTCTACAAACATTTAACACAAAAGAAGAAAGACATAGGAAACTCTTGATATTCCCTCATGGGATGGTCTCCATGATACATTTTTAAGAAGAAATAAAGCAAGGTGTAGAATAACATATAGAGTCTGCTAAAATTTGTGTGAAAAGGGACAAAGAGATATATATACACATTTATATTTGCTTGCATATGCATAAAATATATTTGGAAGAATAAGCAAGAAGATATCCCTGGTTGCCTGTTGGGGATGAGACAGGGTAAGAAAGAGACATTTTACCTTTTGAATATTTTGAATTTTGAATTTTGAACTATATCAAGAAATAAAATATAATTCCTAGGGCAACCAAACAAACCCCAAAAAAATTCAAAATGAAAAACCTTTTAAAAACTAATAGAATTTTTTTACCTTTTATTAAAATAAATTTTTAAAATTTTCTAAATATTATATTATTCCTTTAACAAGGAGGTTTACCACCATTTTAATTCAGTACGTTGTTTTCTTTTTAATTGCATGATCTTTCTTTACATCTATCTTTTTTCCATTACAAGGTAAAATAACAGCATGATTAATTAAATGCAATTTGTTTGGTGAATGAAACTTTGTTCAAATCTTGGTCTAAGTGGGAAAGGGATTCTAGGGGATCCAGTGCAGCAGTTATGGGTTTCAGTATGCTCACGACGACCTCCAGTGTTTGTGTGGGCTCATGGATGCCATATCTAGAAAACACTGGAATTCTCAAGCACACGTGACTGAAGCCATTTGCCAAATGTTCAAGGTCCTATTAATGGCCCATCTGAGTACTTGTCATACGCAGTCACCCTATCTTTGGATCAGAAGGTACACTCAGAGCGCCTAGTGTCACATCCCAGGCCCAACCTGCTGAGATTAGTCGAGGAAGGTCTGGAGGTCAGTGTCGTGAGGGGTGGGAAGACTGAGGGTGTGGGGGCCAGTTGTGGAGTGGCGGGAGCCCCAGGTGCTGTATGAAGCCGAGCCTCTGGATCACCCTGTGACCCCACATTTGGTCCCTTCCTGGGTGTCTTCCATTCCCAGGACTCCCAGGAAATAAAATGCTGTAAGATTGGGGTGGGGAGCTGTCCAGGGTGGGTCAGGTGTGGTCTCACTGATCCTACACCTCTGCCTCCCAGCCCACTCCCAGCCCTCTTCTGATATTAGAAACCAACACAGATTGCCTTAGGGTGGTGGTTCTCAAAGTGTGGTCCTGGGGGAAGCAGCATTGGCATCACCTGGGAACTTAGATATGCAATCTTCAGGGCCTGGCCTGGACCTACTGTATCAGAAACTCTGCATTTAACAAGCCCCCAGCAGAATTCTGCTTTTCAAATCAGATCTCTCTCTCTCTCTCTCTCTCTCTCTGTGTGTGTGTCTCTCTCTCTCTCTCTCTCTCTCTCTCTCTCTCTCTCTCTCTCTCTCTCTCTGTTTCAAGTCTCAATATTGAGTAGCTGTGACTTCTGGATAGTCAGGTGTCAGACACCCTTTCTTGCCAGGAGGCACCAGGCTCCTCAATCAGCTTAGTCTCATTCTTGGCCTGGCCCAGGGAAAGATGTTCACTTCCTGGATTCTGAGCAAAGCTCTCCTATCCTGGGTGCCTGTGGGGCTCCCACTTACACCACAAAACAAAGCTCAAATATTTTTTTCTTTTATGAGATTTTTGGTATTCCTTCATTAGTCAGAGCTGAAGATCTACATATATGTCTACCAAGCAAGTGTGCATGTCCCACTAGCCAGTTTGTTAGTCTTGCCAATGCACCACAACGTAGCAGCCTCTCAGTCTCTCCTTGTGAGGTGTTACCTGGAGTTCTTTGTCTCACCACCAAGAGAATTAAGGAGCGTGGATACAAAGGGTGAGGTTGGAGCAAAAGTTTAATAAGCAAAAGAAGAAAGCTCTCCCCTGCAGAGAGGGGGCTTGGAAGATGGTTGCCATTTTTACAGCTGAATGCAAAGGCTTTTACAAGAAACTGATGAGGGCTGGGTGTCTCATTTGCATAAGGCACGAATTTCCGGTAGCTCCACCCCATCCTCCTAGTGCCCATGCAGGCCCTTAGCTTGAGTTACTCCATATTGCTTTGTTTCCCTGACTGCCCATGTATCGGGGGACAGAATTTTCCATTGCGGGCATGTCTGGACAAGTCTCCTGTGCAGCCTTTCTTATTTGTGCAGCTGTGGGCATGTCTTAGGCAAGCCCCCCTGTGCAAGTTCCCTTCTCTGTGCCTGCAGGCCGTTCTTTTGTTTGAAATAATTCAACTGAGGACCCACCATAACTGCCCGCCTGACCAGTTTCTTCCTTTTTTCTCTCTCAATTTGTGTTATGATTTCCTTACTGATCTCTGCCTGAGCAAGACTGGGCATGCCTTGAGGGCAAGGAGGGTTTATTTCCTCTTACCTCAGTTCCAGCTCCTCTTAAAACAATGCCCCATGCACAGTAGGTATTTGATAAATGTTTACCAAATGAAGGGATTGCCTGGAATGGCTTGGCAGACAGGAAAGCAGAATGAAAACCCACAGGCCAAAAGTGGCTGGGAAAAGATTTTCCAAATCCTAGTGCTGGGCACAGGGCCCACTGAAATTCACTTTCGGAACCTTCCCATCTGTCTCGTTCTCCTCTCATCAGGATAGAGCCCACCTAGTCACACACTACCTTTCAGGACCACCTTCCAGATCAGCCAGGTACAAATCCCACAGACTTCCTGCCTGTGGTTCCAAATGCTCAGCTGAAATTCTGAGGCTAATTTCAGTGCAGTTAGAGTGGCAATGGCTGGCTTTAAGATTCGAGAAGTAGTGTTTACATCTCAAAAGAGAAGACCGCTCCACCAGAAATGCAGAGTTTTTGTATGTGCGGGTCCGGGGTCTTCAGGAGATAAAGAATGATAGCTCCAGGAGCGCTGGGACCCCCGTGCAGCCACCAGTCACCACAGCCTAGGCAGGGGTTGGGCTCTCACCTCGGCCCCTCCCCTGCACGCCCTGGATGTGGATGGTCCCCGAGTGTGAACTCGCCTGGGCTCTGACCCTGGGTGCTCTTCCCGCCGTTGTGGAGCCTCTGCGGGTGTGGTGCATGCACAGGGGGCTTCACAGGAGACCCGGGGCCCTTTAGAGTCTCAAGGCCAACATTCTTGGAGAATCCATGTCAGGCATTCAGGCTCTCAGGGACTCAGATGCCCAAACTATGAAAATGAGAGAATCTATCCCACTCTCTCAGGTGTGGTGAGATTCCTATTATATGACTATCGGTCATCTATACATGGATTGTACTCTCAGAGTTGCCTTTATCAGTCGGCCAATGCCTAAAACCCAAAGATGGGTCAGGCATGGTGGAGGAAGAGTTCCTTTCTTACCTTCTGAAGGTGCCATCAACAGGAATTTCTACCCTGTGGAGTCTAGAGGAGACTTTCCTTGAAGCTGAGTTGGGAATGGACATTTGGACTTTTTTTTTTAAGAGTTAGTAACTCCGTGGAGAACCACACATTTATTTGCTTACTTTAATTCTACAGCAACATTCGAAGTGGCTTACTGCAACAAACCCAGTGTAATAAATACATACGAATTACTTTAAAATAACACCAAGGAAAATATACATTTTAAAAGATTAAGGCTGGGGTAAAGCTGGAACATTACTAGGCGGGAAGGAACATCTGAAACATTTGCTGAAATGGAGTTGACCCTTTACCTAGCCATAGATTTGTTGCCTCACAATTTCATTGCATCTGAGCACCAGGGAGGGGGGTGGCAGTTCAGGTCACCAGTCCCTTGTTTCCTGATTCAGGAACAGTGTCCTGTTCTATACTTACAGTCAAAGCAAATTACATCGTTGTAAGATGTTTAATGATGAAGTCAAAGTCCACAGAGTCAGCAAGTAAGTGTAAAAACCTCAGGAGTCCAAGGACAGTCTACGTTTCTCCCCAGAAATGGCCTCACTATGCACTGTTGAAGGGAGAGGGTCCTTTCAAGGGGCCCCAAGATGCAGGAGCAATTGGGCTGCAGCTCTAAATAAAGATGTCCTTTCTACCTGCAGATTCCACAAAACCTCACAGGCAAATTTGGTGATCTCACCTGAGCTAGGAATTCAGTTTTTTGATATTGGTTCTCTTTGAGCCATTGTGTGAGCTTTAAAATGTGACATGGAGATTTTGCTATACTGGTATTTCCTTGCTGGAATTTGACATCCACAGTGGCTCTGGCTTCCCTGTCTGGTCCCAGGAGGAAATGGAGTGTCCTACACTTTTTTTCAGCATCGCTTTGTGTAAGAAGGATCAGGAGACCTGGAGTCAGGGGCTCCTCCAATCTCACTCTCCTTCATAAAACAGTGTCCCTTAAGCTTTCTGGGGGTGAGGGCCTTGACACCGTGCTGTTCTGATGAATATAATTATCCCAGCTCCCGAAATAAAAGCACAGGTGCACAAAATACCGACTGTTGCAAGCAATGCCAAGGTGGGGATGTTTCCTAGGTGCCAGGTTTAGCACTTTGACTTTGTATGTACACACACAGGGGCCAGGCGTTGTGGTTTATGCCCATAATCTCAGCACTTTGGGAGGCTGAGGCATGAGAATTGCTTGAAGCCAGAAGTTCAAGACCAGCATGAGTAACAAAGCAAGACCCAGTCTCTACAAAAAAAAAAAAAAAAAAAGAAAAGAAAAGAAAAAAATACACACACACACACACACACACACACACACACATACTGGGTGTGGTGGCTCCAGTCTGTAGTCCCAGCTACTCGAGAAGCTGAGGTGGGAGGATTGCCTGAATCCAGGAGTTGGAGCCTGCAATGAGCTGTGATCGGGACACTGCTCTAGCTTGACCATCAGAGTGAGACCCTGTCTCAAAAACAAACAAACAAAACAAAACAAAATACATACACACACACAGCCAGAGCCAGCACTGAGGGAGAGGCTGGCCTCAGGGGTGGGGTCACAGGCATTTCTCAGGTCCCTCTCAGTGGTCTATGTCTCTTTTTCCTGGAGGTGGAGGAGTCTGTACTTCATGAGGAGAAGTCCTCTGAAGAAGGCGGGAGATACTCAGGAGCGGGGTCCGGAGAGGGAAAAGGATGAGGAAGTGGAGACAAAGTGGAGGGGGCAGGGCAAGAAGGGCACATGTGAGGAATGGGGAGGGGGAGGACCTTCCAGCTGTCAGAAAGGTCCCACGCAGAATTTGGCTCTTGGTTTTTCTGCTTTATCAGGATGGATTTGGGAAACCAGCCGGAGCGGGAGATAAGGAGTCTACTTTGCAAAGGACACGTGTGAGTCTCCTCCTAATTTGAACTCATGAGTAGCAGCTGACAGCCAGGACCCTTGTGTGGGGCGCGTGACGCCCCTTTGCAACCAGGGCGTTTTCTGCACCCCACCAGCCATCCCTCCTGGGACCACACTGGTCCTCTCCAACCCTAACAGGGAGAGAAGGAAGGAGAGGTCTGGAGGCTTTGGGTCCTCCCTCGTGCTCCTTCTTCCTCTGCCATTTATTCCCTGAGTGTCCTTGACTTTCCTCCGCTACCCGGACCCCACTACAGCAAAGCACATCCTGCACACTGGCCTGGACTCCCTTTGTAACCACCCAGTGTGTTCACCTTGCTGACTGCCTAGACAAAGCCGATTTATCAAGGCAGGGGAATTACAATAGAGAAAGAGTAATTCATGCAGAGCCGGCCGTGCGGGAGACCAGAGTTTTATTACTCAAATCAGTCTCCCCGAAAACTCTGATCAGTTTTTAAGGATAATTTGGTGGATGGGGGGGGCCGGTGAATCAGGAGTGCTGATTGGTTGGCTCCGGTATGAAATCATAGTGAGTGGAGGCTGTTCTCTTAGGCTGAGTCAGTTCCTGAGTGGGGGGCCACAGGACTGGTTGGCAGGTCCAGATGGGGTCCTCCAGTTGTTAGAAATGCAAAAACCTGGCCTGGCGTGGTGGCTCACGCCTGTAATCCCAGCACTTTGGGAGCCCGAGGCGGGCGGATCACGAGGTCAGCAGATCGAGACCATCCTTGCTAACACGGTGAAACCCCGTCTCTACTAAAAATACAAAAAAATTAGCCGGGTATGGTGGCGGGAGCCTGTAGTCCCAGCTACTCAGTAGGCTGAGGAAGGAGAATGGCGTGAACCCGGGAGGCAGAGCTTGCAGTGAGCCGAGATCGCGCCACTGCACTCCAGCCTGGGCGACAGAGCGAGACTCCGTCTCAAAAAAAAAAAAAAAAAAAGAAAGAAAAAGAAAAAAGAAATGCAAAAGACATCTCAAAAGGCCGCTCTGAGGTTCACAATAGTGATGTTACCTTCAAGAGTAACTGGGGAAGTTGCAAATCTTATGACCTCCGGAATAATGGCTGGTAATATTCAGAATTCCAGCCCCTCTCATCCTAACTTAATGGCTGGCGGCCTTTCATTCGTTTTAAAAGAACACTTTCCCTTTAAACTATAAATTCCTTCCCAAGGCTAGTACGGCCTATGCCCAGAAATGAACAAGGGCAGGTTAGCGGTTAGAAGCAAGATAGGGTGAGTTAGGTTTGATGTCTTTCACTGTCATCATTTCCTTACTTATAATTTTGCAAAGGCGGTTTCACCTTGGCTTCAGACCCACCCATGCAGTATCACTGTGCCCTGTCCTTCCAACCACTGCCACTAGGTGAAAGCAGAGAGAGCATCGCCCAGATGGGCTAGATTCTCACAGGCTCACTGCTAGAACGAACATTCTTGAGACTTTAGATCTAAGTCAGCCTGATTTCTGAAAGCCTTGGACCGTTTCCAAAATCAAATCAATACTCCAGGAACAAGATCTGCCTCGACTTTGTCTCCACCCAAGGACGCTATGGCAACGCAGTTTTCAAACGTGCTTTGAGAATAAATGGAACAGGGTCCCCTGTGTCCCCACTCATTTGCGTTTTCCTTTTTATTACAGCCAACCGCTTTTGTAAATATTGTTACATATCTCTCTATTCCACTGAAAACATCTCTTTCAAATGCACTTTAAGAAAGATTCAATGACATGAAAATATGAAGGATCCTCTTGAAAGAGTTTCTGGTGCTGGGTTTTAAAGAACGTTTTGGTTTTTAAAACTCTGTAACCATTTTGGTGTGGGGCTTAGCTTCGTATTTTCAAATTGAAATATTCTCTTCCTTAACGTCCGCATAAATCCAAGTTCACAATTTTTATTATTTTAAAATTTTATTTATTTTTGTTTTGGGGACAGGGTCTCCTCCTGTCACCCAGGCTGGATTGCAATGGCACAATCATAGCTCACTGCAGCCTGGAACTCCCCGGCTCAAGCGATCCTCCTGCCTCCAATTCCCAAAGAGCTGAGATTATAGGCATGAACCACTGCAACTCACCCAAATCCAAGTTTATACTAAAAGATAAAATTCCAACATTTCAGAGAAAATGAAAGTCACAAAGTTATCCCAGTCTCTGAAGTCACTGTCAAAACTTTGGTGAGGAATCTTCCAGGTTTTCCCCTACTTAAAATATATATTAATATTATGTAAGTAATATTAGCGGCATTTTCACCCAGGCTGGAGTGCAGTGGCACGATCTCAGCTCACTGCAACCTCCACCTCCCGGGTTCAAGCAATCCTCCTGCCTCAGCCTCCCGAGTAGCTGGGACTACAGGCGCCGGCCACCATGCCTGGCTAATTTTTGTATTTTCAGTGGAGACAGGGTTTCACCATATTGACCAGGCTGATCTCGAACTCCTGACCTCAGGTGATCTGCCCACCTTGGCCTTCCAAAGTTCTGGGATTACAGGCGTGAGCCACTGGGCCCAGCCTCCTTAACCTTTTAAAAAAGGTTAAAAGTATGCTGGGCACTTCTTTTCATAGCAATACTTAAAAGCGATCTTACTCTTTTTAATGACTGTATAGAATTTTATAATATAACTCTTCTTTGGGAGACAATTGAAATGTTCTTTATCTTCACTGTGGTAGTGGAGATGTGGGTGTGTACAACAGCTAAAATTCAACAAGTTGAACACTTTAAATAGATGCAGTTTATTGCATGCAAAGTATGTCCCAATATGATGATTTAAAAATATTATCGTCTTTGAGATTTGTACTTTGCTTATGTGAAACAAAACAAAACAAAAACCCTGTTCTTGTGCCCAGGAGACACACCCTGACTCATCTGGAGGTAGAGGGTCATGCTGTCTGCAACTTACCCTCACAGGCTCTGAAATAACAATAATAGCAGTATATTTACAGATTCAGAAAGAGAGAAAGCTATAGTAAAAATGTTCATAAGTAAAACTAGATAAAGGGCAAAAATAAATAATAAAACTACGTCTTTTAAATTTTATCTCTCCTTTACTTTTTCTCTCCCCTTTTCTTCCTATCTCTTCCCTCCTTTCTTAACACGTCCCCCTATCCTTCCCTCCTTTCACCACTCTCTGCACTTGATCCCCGGTGTATTCCAGCCTCCAGGCCAACACACTTCACCGCGTCCGCCTGGGGCAGGTCAGAAAAGGGACGCGAGGCGGCGCTGTCACAGCATTCTATGCGCCCCAGCGCCCTGGGCCGCGCTGGTCTTGTATCATTTCAGTGGTCCCTCCCGTCTTTGACGGGGCCAAACTCGGGGTGTAAATTAGGATCCTCACTGAAGCGGCGGGACCCTGAGAGGCTTTTTCCTGGCCCCTTAGTTGTGGGTTTTCCTGCGGGCGGTGGAGCCCGTTTCCATCAGAACCGCCCAGAGGCGGGCGCTGCCTTCCAGGGGTGAAGTGTTTTCGGACCCCGGAATCTGTGGGCGGCCTGCGGGAGGGGCTGAGGCGCAGTTCCCTACTCACCCAGGTCCGAATCCACCGCGGTGCTGTTTCCAGCGAGTCAGATTCCAGATCGCGCTCCAGCCTGGACTCGGAATTCCTGCCCCGCGGGTCTGCATTTTCACAGCGGCAGGTGTGAGTGCCGCGCAGCTGGAGACCAGAAGCCTGAGGCAGCTCGGCCCTCCCCAGCCCAAAGTGCCGTTATTCCGTTTCTGTATCAGTAAACACGTTTCATTTTCCGTAGACCAGGGAAGGGTGATGGGTGATCCCAGTCCTCGCAGTGAATTCCGGGCCACAAAATTCAAAACGCTTGCGGGCAAAGCCGTGCGCGGTGGCTCAAGCCTGTAATTCCAGCACTTTGGGAGGCCGAGGCGGGCGGATCACCTGAGGTCGGGATTTCCAGACCAGCCTGACCAACATAGAGAAACCCCGCCTCTACTAAAAATACAAAATTAGCCGAGTATGGTGGCGCATGCCTGTAATCCCAGCTAGTCGGGAGGCTGAGGCAGGAGACTCACTTGAACCCGGGAGGCGGAGGTTGCTGTGAGCCGAGATCGCGCCACTGCACTCCAGCCTGGGCAACAAGAGCGAAACTCAGTTTCAAAAAAAAAAAAACAAAAAACAAAAAGCTTTCGGGCGCCGAGGGCAGCCCCGCCCTGAATTTTGTGAGCGACCGCGCTGGGCCGTTTCTCTTTCTTTTCCGGACCCTGCAGTGGCGCCTAAAGTCTGCGAGGAGGAAGTCCTGCGAGGACTTAGTCCCTGAGTCCAGGGATCTAAGGCAAGTGCTGAGGGAGAAAACATAGTTGATGGGGCAGAGCAGAGGGGGCTGGAGGTGGGGTGGAGGGGGAGAGCTTTGAACAGAAGACCTGGGAGGCTTGGTGGGGGAGGGGACCCAGGCCTCGGCGCTGAGAAGCAACTCCCCTGGAGCTCAAGACCATCTTGGCCTCCCCTAGCCCAGGGGAGGACTGGCTTCATGTCTCCCTGAAACCGCTTCTAAATGCCTTAGAACAAACCTTAAATATTCATTATTATTATTGAACTATTAAAAGTCTTTTTTGGAGGCGAGCTGAATGAGACCCTTTGCTGGAGCTGGCACACGGAGGAAGTCCTGGAGGGAGGGTAGTCACCGTGGAAGGAAGGGCTTGGGACCTGTGTCAGGAGAGCTGGGTCCATCTCCCTCTCTGTCTCAAACTATGCTTATGATCTTTAGCAGCGAAAATAATCTCTCTAAGGTGGGGACAGGACCCCAGTCCCTGCTGTGCTTAATAAATTATGAGGATCAAAATAAATTATCAGTGAATGTGTATGGGAAGACTAAGAAATTGTTAAAATTCTCGAGTACATTACATTTTCATCCACAGAAAAGTGTAGGCTAGGGATGATAGGGGAATAGTTAGTAATGACAGGGTTAGTTGAACTTAAAAAAAAAGGTTGTGAGGCCAACAAAAAAGAAATGGACACAGTTCCTGATCCTGGAGGGTTCATAGTCTAATGGGGGAGGAGGGTAGAAGATGGTAGGTGATGGCTGGGTGTGTGGCACTCGCCTGTAGTCCCAGCTACTCAAGAGGCTGTGGTGGGAGGATTGCTTGAGCCCAGACATTTGAGGCTGCAGTGAGCTATAATCACGCCACTGCATTCCAACTGAGTGACACAGCAAGACTCCTCTCTTAAAAAAATAAAATAAAATAAATGAAAAAAAATAAGATTCAAGACAGGGCACAGTCGGTACCATCAGGAAGGTTCAAACCATGGGCTAGATCAGTAGTTCTAAAACTTGACTACACATCGGAATCACGTAGGGAACTTTAAAAGATACTAAGGTTTAGGTCCAACCTAGGTTTACTGATTTAACTGGTTGTGGCTGTGGCCTGGGAACATGGATATTAAAAACTCTCCAGGTGGTTCTACGCAGTGGCTAGGTTTGAAGACCACCGCCTAGATGTCCCAATGACTAAGAATGTGCGCTGGGGACAAGCCAATTCTCTTAGTAGAAAGAGGCTTTCCAGACAGAATTCTTATTATTGAGAATTGAGAATTCATATGCCACACATAATTTATCGCTTTAAAGTGTACAGATCAGTGGCTTCTAGCATAATCACAAGGTTGTGCCACCGTCACCACTATCTACTTGGGAAGATTTTCTTCCTTTTTTTCTTTTTTTTTTTTTTTTTTTGAGGCGGAGCCTTGCTCTGTTGCCCAGGCTGGAGTGCAGTGGCGCAATCTCAGCTCACTGCAAGCTCTGCCTCCCGGGTTGACCCCATTCTCCTGCCTCAGCCTTCTGAGCAGCTGGGACTACAGGTGCCCGCCACCACGCCCAGCTAAGTTTTTTGTAATTTCAGTAGAGACGGGGTTTCACTGTGTTAGCAGGATGCTCTCGATCTCCTGACCTCGTGATCTGCCCACCTCGACCTCCCAAAGTGCTGGGATTACAGGCGTGAGCCACCGTGCCCGGACCCTTTTTCCTTTTTTTTTTTTTTTAAAGGCTAGTCAAGTGAAACAGTGGGAGTGAAGATGAAACAAAAACATCTGTAACTGGTTGTGATCAATTAGTTGTAAACACCACTGCACTCAGACCAGCCTAATTGGGAAGATTTTGAGGATATGCTGTGGTCTGATGGGTTCCAAGGCAGAGGTGACAGTAACCTGGAAGAGGGAGACTGCTTAGGCAGTGGCATCCTGGTGGGATAGGGTGAGGAGATCCCAGAGCCCACGTTTACTGCAACCCTGGGGAAATGTCACCAGAGAAATGGAGGTGGTGCCAGACAATAGATTGTGGGAGCTATGGTTTCCATGGTAGAGTAGAAGCATCCACCATCTGTGACATTCAGCAGATGGGGCGCTGTGGGTGGCTTGGAGCACTCTGGTTGTAACTGAGGCAGGCACAGTGTTTAGGAAGCCTGTGCAGTAATCCAGGCTGAAGGGAGGGGAACGCCTAGACTAACATTGTGGCTGTGGGATTGAAATAGTGTTGAAGGAGCTGACTTTGACTCCCGGAGATGAAGGGGAAAGAGGAAATCAGAAGGGACCAAGGATGGTGAAGTTCTTAAGAGAAACTGAGGAGGAAGAGAGGATGATGTGGTGGGAGACGTGTAGAGAGTCCTTGTAGATCTGTCACATTGAAGGGGACTATGGTCCCAGAGGTACAGATGTCCTAAAACAGGCTGGAAAAGGGAGTCTGGAGAGAGCTTGGTGTTGTAATGAACCATGGGGAGCCGCCTCGTTGGCCCTGTGATTACCCAGGAACTGAATAGAGAGGGGGCCCTGGGAGACCTCAGACACTTAGAGGATATAAGGGGGTGAAAGGGGGGACCTGGCTTTGAGTCGAAGGGAGGAGAAGGAGATTATATAGCTGAAACGTCTAAGAGAATTTGTGATCTGAGCGTTTCTACTGGGGCAAGTGCTTCTGAAAGGCAGAGGCGGCTGAGATCTGGAAACAGGTCTGCAAATCTGGTCACTGGTCTCATTGCAGTAACGCTGTGCGCGGTTGAGGGAGTGTATTGGGAGAAAAACCACGCGTTGTCTGTCCCGGAAGGAACAAGCCAGTGAGAGCCGGCCTGATGGGAGGACCGGCGAAAGGGGCTTGGTGAAGCCCGCGCTCCTTGGGGGTGGGAATGCGGGGATGGGGTGGTCGCGATGCAGGGAGGGCGACAGGGTCCAGGTCGTGCTCATAAGGTTGGAGCTGTACTCTCAGCTACTCGGGGCTGGTCCTTGATTTTGGCTGCGCTCGCGCACGCTCCACCTTTTCTGGCCGCCAGGTCCCGCCTTCTAAATTTCCCCAGGTCTCCAGGCCGCTAGAATTTTCTCTTCTGAACGTGACCCCGCCCTCTCCATTCATGATTGGCCCTAAGTTCCGGGCCTCAGTTTTCACTGGATAAGCGGTCGCTGAGCGGGGCGCAGGTGACTAAATTTCGACGGGGTCTTCTCACCGGTTTCATTCAGTTGGCCACTGCTGAGCAGCTGAGAAGGTGGCGACGTAGGGGCCATGGGGCTGGGCCGGGTCCTGCTGTTTCTGGCCGTCGCCTTCCCTTTTGCACCCCCGGCAGCCGCCGCTGGTGAGTGGGGTTCCTGGCGGTCCCCGGCGGAGCGGGAGCGGCGGGGCGTTTCCGGGGGTCCGGGTGGGTTGCCGCGAGCGCTGTGCGGTCAGGGCGGGGCTCAGGTGTGCTGTCTGGAGTGCAGGGAGCTGGACGCCGCCTGTTCCCGCCACACCTCAGCCCTGCTTTCCCATCTCCCGTCTCTTTTTTTTTTTTTTTTTTTTTTTTCTTTCTGAGACGGAGTCTCTGTCGCCCAGGCTGGAGTGCAGTGGCGCGATCTTGGCTCACTGCAAGCTCCGCCTCCCGGGTTCACGCCATTCTCCTGCCTCAGCCTCCCTAGTAGCTGGGACTACAGGCGCCCGCCACCACGCCCGGCTAATTTTTTGTGTTTTTAGTAGAGATGGGGTTTCACCGTGTTAGTCAGGATGGTCTCGATCTCCTGACCTCGTGATCCGCCCGCCTCGGCCTCCCAAAGTGCTGGGATTACAGAGGTGAGCCACCGCGCCCGACCTCCCGTCTCCTTTCAGTCCTCCTCGGGATCGCGCATCACCCGCATTTTCTGGTCTCCTCCTGCACTTGCTCTCCTCGCCTCTCCTCCGTCTCCTCTCACTTTTCGGACAAACCAGTCCTTCTGAGGCCCCTGGGTTCCCGGGCTGCTCCTGTGAATGGCATTGGAAGGCCGTTCCAGCGCGGCCGCTGAGGCAGCCACTTCCCCCGGTGCTGGGGGCGGATCTCAGCTCCCTGAAGTCCTGTCCTCTCCCGGAGCCGATGTGTTCTCAGCTCCTGGGCCGCAGCTCCTGGAGTTGGGGCCCTCCTTTCTTGGGACCCGGAGGTGGTGCTTCTTGCTGCTGTGGGGACTGTGGGGGGTCCTGACTCTCAAGCTGAGGGGTTGGAGTCTGCAGGCTCCGGGCAGAGGATTCTTCCTGCGACTTCTGTCATCCCCAGCTCATTCTCCCCTCGCCTCCGGCTCCGAGGGTCCTCTCCTCTCTCGCATCCCACCCCTACTAATGACCAATGATCTAAGGACACCAGATTCCCTCTCACCTCCTCCCTGCCCATCTTACGGCGCCCTGGGTCCTGTTGTTCTCCCAGCTCCCTGCTACCCCTTCCTGTGTGCTGTTCTCTGATCCATTTCTAGGGTGTCCTCTGCCTTCATCCCCCGCCCCCGCCACTGAAGGTCCCTCCTGCCTCCTTTATGGGCCTTTCCTGCAAGCAGCCTTCACTCCGTGCTGCCCCTATGCCTCCCCATTCCCAAATGTCCCTGACTCTAACTTTCTGGTGCTGCCTTTTGTCCGGGGGGGGTCTTCCCTCCATCCCACTCCCCTCCAGACCCCCAAGGAGAGCCCTGATGCTAATGGCAGTTGGGCCTTAGGCAGGGCGCAGGGCAGCGCAGATGCCCCCTCCCCTCCAGTGCAGGTGCCTGCTCTGGGCCCTGCCTCATTGTGGCCCCTTCCCCACTCCTTCATCCTCAGCCTCACCCTCTTGAGGACCCCACCCTCCAGCCCACAGATGCTGGACCATCCCTCCCTGGTCCCTCCGCCCCTCTCCACCTTGGGACCTTGTGCTGCTCCTGTCTCTTGCCCAGCTGCCTGGGGCCCTCAGCAAGTTCTCATCTTTCAGTGGGAAAGTGGGAGTGCTGGAGCATATGACAGTGCTGAGAATCTTTCCCAAGCCCCACCCTCCCCCAGAGCACCCTCCCCTCCTGTCCTCACCCTACCCCAAGTTCTCCCACAGTCACTCCTGCCCCATGCTCATGCCGCCCTCCAGTTCTTGCTCTGCCCATCTCCCCTCCCCAACCCAGACCTAAAACAGGCTGTTGGGCCAGCTGTTCCTTGACCTTCCTTCTTTTCTTTTGGTTCCTTGACCCCAGTGGGCTCTCACTCCCCACACCGCATATCTAAAATCTGTTTTGCCTGCTCTTGGGGTGCCACTGCTCCCCCTCCAGCATTACTCCTTTTGGCAGGTCCTTCCTCAGGCTGAGAATCTCCCCCTCCACCTTGGTTTTCTCTCTCTGGCCAGCACCCCCACCCCTTGCTTTGTTTTTAATTTTTAACTTTTGTGTGGGTACGTAGTAGATATGTATGTATATATTTATGGGGTACATGGGATATTTTGACACAGGCCTACAATATGTCATAATCACATCAGGGTAAATGGGTTATCTATCACAACAAGCATTTATCCTTTCTTTGTGCTACAAACAATCCCATTATGCTCTTTCAGTTATTTTTAAATGTACAATAAATTATTGTTGGCTGTACTCACCCTGCTGTGCTATCTACTAGATCTTATTCATTCTAACTATATTTTTGTACCCATTAACCATCCGCACTCCCCCACTCCCCACTACCCTTCTCAGCCTCTGGTAATCGTCATTCTATTGTCTCTCCCCATGAGGTCCATTGTTTTAATTTTTGGCTGCCACAAATAAGTGAGAACATGCAAAGTTTGTCTGTCTGGGCCTGGGGCTTATTTCACTTCACATGATGACCTCCAGTTCTTTGCAAATGACATGGTGGCTGAATAGTACTCCACATACACGTGTGCACCACATTTTCTTTCTCCATTCGTCTGTTGATGGACACTTAGGTCGCTTGCAGATCTTGGCTATTTTGAATAGTGCTGCAATAAACATGGAAAAGTAGATAGCTCTTTAATATACCGATTTCCTTTCTTTTGGGTATATGCCTAACAGTGGGAGTGCTGGAGCATATGACAGCTCTGTTATATTTTTAGTTTTTGGAAGAACCTCCACATTATTTCCCACAGTGGTTATACTAGTTTACGTTCCCACCAACAGTGTACAAGGGTTCTCTTTTGCTACATCCTCGCCAGGATTCCTTATTGCCTGTCTTCTGGATAAAAGCCAGTTTATCTGGGGTGGGATGATATCTCGTAGGAGTTTTGATTTGCCTTCATCTGATGACGAATGATGTTGAGCACCTTTTGATATACCTGTTTGCCATTTGTATGTCTTCTTTTGAGAAATGACTATTCAGATCTTTTGCTCATTTTTAAGTTGGATTATTAGATATTTTTCCTATAGAGTTGTTTGAGATCCTTATATGTTTTGGTTACTAATCCTTTGTCAGATGAATAGTTTGAAAATATTTTCTCCCATTCTTGGATGGTCTCTTCACTTTGTTTATTGTTTCCTTTGCTGTGCAGAAGCTTTTTAACTTGATATGATCCCATTTATGCATTTTTACTTTGGTTGCCTGTGCTTGTGGGGTATTACTTAAAAAATCTTTGCCAGTCCAATATCTTAGAGAGTTTCCCCAATGTTTTCTTTTATAGTTTTCATAGTTTGAGGTCATAGATTTACATCTTTAATACTTTTTGATTGGATTTTTATATGTGGTGAGAGATATGGTCCAGTTTCATTCTTCTGCATAAGGATATCTAGTTTCCCCAGCACCATTTATTGAAGAGACTCTCCTTTGCCCTGTATGTGTTCTTGGTAACTTTGTTAGAAATAACTTCACTGTAGATATATGGATTTGTTTCTGGGTTCTCTATTCTGTTTCATTGGTCCGTGTGTCTGTTTTTATGCCACTACCATGCTGTTTTGATTACTCTAGCTCTGTAGTATAATTTGAAGTCAGATAATGTGATTCCTCTAGTTTTGTTCTTTTTGCTCAGGGTAGCTTTATCTATTCTGGGTTTTTTGTGATTCCATATACATTTTAGGATTGTTTTTCTATTTCTGTGAAGAATGTCATTGGTGTTTTGATAGCAATTGCATTGAATTTGTAGATTGCTTTGGGTAGGATGGATATTTTAACAAAATTGATTCTTCCGGCTGGGCACGGTGGCTCACTCCTGTAATCCCAGCACTTTGGGAGGCCGAGTCAGGTGGATCACTTGAGATCAGGAGTTCAAGACCAGCCTGATCAACATGGAGAAACCCCGCCTCTACTAAAAATACAAAATTAGCCAGGCGTGGTGGCATATGCCTGTAATCCCAGCTACTCAGGAAAGCTGAGGCAGGAGAATCGCTTGAACCCAGGAGGCAGAGGTTGTGGTGAGCTGAGATTGCACCATTGCACTCCAGCCTGGGCAACAGGAGCAAAACTCCATCTCAGAAAATAAAAATAAACATTGATTCTTCCAGTCCATGAACATGGAATGCCTTTTCCATTTTTTGTGTCCTCTTCAATGTTTTGCATCAGTGCTTTATAGTTTTTATTGGAGAGATCTTTCACTTCTTCAGTTAAGTCTATTCCTAGGTATTTTATTTGATTTGTAGCTAATGAAAATGGGATTCGTTTCTTGATTTCTTTTTCAGATTATTTGCTGTTAGCACATAGAAATGCTATTGATTTTTGCATGTTGATTTTGTATCCTGCAACTTTACTGAATTTGTTCTTCAGTTCTAATAGTTTTTTGGTGGAGTCTTTAGGTTTTCCAAATATCAGACCACATGATGTGCAAACAAGGATAATTTGACTTCTTCTTTTCCAATTTTGATGCCCTTTATTTCCTTCTCCTGTCAGATTGCTCTAGCTAGGACTGGCAGTATTGTGTTGCATAACTGTAGTGAAAGTAGTCATCCTTGTCTTGTTCCAGATCTTAAAGAAAAGGCTTTCAGTTTTCCCCCATTCAGTATGTTACTAGCTGTGAGTTGTCATATATGGCTTTTATTATATTGAGGTCTGTTCCTTGTATACTCAGTTTTTTTAGAGTTTTTATCATGAAGGGATGTTAAACTTATCAAATGCTTTTTCAGTATCAATTGAAATGGTGATATGGCTTTTGTCCTTTATTCTGTTGATACGATGTATTACATTGATTGATTTGTGTATGCATACCTGGAATACATTCCACTTGGTCATGAAGAATGAACTTTTTAATATACTGTTGAATGTGGTTTGCTAGTATTTCATTGATGATATTTGCCTCAATGTTCATCAGGGATATAGGCCTGTAGTTTTCTTTTTTTGATGTGTCTTTGCCTGATTTTGATATCAGGATATTCCTGGCTTTGTAAAATGAGTTTGGAAGTATTCCCTCCTCCTCTGTTTTTCAGAACAATTTGAATAGGACTGATATTTCTTGTTCTTTAAACGTTTAATTGTGGTAAATTATACATTACATAAATTTTACTGTTTTAACCACTTTTAAGTGTATACTCGGTGGCATTAGATACATTCACATTTTTGTGCAACCCAAAACTCTGTACCCATTAATCGGTAACTCCCCATTCCTCCCTACCTCTGGCCCCTGGTAACCATCATTCTACTTTTTGTTTCTATGAATTTGACCACTCTAGGTACCTCATTTAAGTAGAATCGTGTAATGTTTGTCTTTTTGATTCTGGCTTATTTCACTTATAATATTTCGAGGTTCATCCAGGTTGTAGTATGGGTCAGATTTTCATTCCTTTTAATGATGAATAATACTCATTATATGTATGTGCCACATCTTGGTTATCCATTCCTCGGACAATGGACACTTGGGTTACTTCTACCTTTTGGATATTGGCAAATATTTCATTTCTCTTGGGTATATATTTATTTCTTTTGAGTATTTCTTTTGGGTATATATCCAGAAATAGAATTGTTGGATCATACGGTATTTCATTTTTTAATTTTTAGAGGAATCACCATAGTGTTTTCCATTGCAGGCGTGCCATTTTGTATTTCTAGAAGCAGTATACAGGGGCTTCAGTTTCTCTACCTCCTTGCCAAACTTGCTGTTTGTGTGTGTGTGTGTGTGTGTGTGTATGATAATAGCCACCCTGATTGGTTTGAAGTGGTATCTCGTTGTGGTTTGGATTTGCATTTTCCTAATAAGTACTGATATTGAGCATCTTTTCATGTGTTTATTGATCATTTGTATATTTTCTTTGAAGAATTGGCCATTGAAGTCTTGCCCATTTTTCTCCCCCACATAGCTTCTCATGGCTATTTTGCCCATTTTTGAGTGGGTTGACTGTTTTGTTGTTTTTGTCAAACTTTTTTGCATATTCTGGAAACTAATGTCTCTCTTTTTCTTTTTTTTTTTTTTTTTTTTTTTTTTTGAGATGGAGTCTTGCTCTGTTGCCCAGGCTGGAGTGCAGTGGCACGATCTCAGCTCACTGCAAGCTCCGCCCGCTAGCTTCATGCCATTCTCCCACCTCAGCCTCCCGAGTAGCTGGGACTACAGGCGCCCGCCACCATACCCGGCTAATTTTTTGTATTTTTAGTAGAGATAGGGTTTCACCATGTTAGCCAGGATGGTCTCAATCTCCTGACCTGGTGATACACCCGCCTCGGCCTCCCAAAGTGCTGGAATTACAGGCTTGAGCCACCACGCCTGGCCTTCTGGAAACTAATCTCTTATCAGATATATGACTTGCAATATTTATTTCATTTCAGGGGTTGATTGCTTTCTCACTCTGATTGTGCCCTTTGATGCACAGATATTTTGAATTTTTCATGAGTCCAGTTTGTCAGTTCTTTCTATTCTATCTGTGCTTTGGCGTCATATCCATGAAAGCACTGTCAAACCCTATGTCATGAACATTATACCCAATGTTTTTTTCTAAGATATTTTTATGTTTTAGTTCTTGAGTTTAGAGTTTAGGTCTTTGATTCATTTTGAGTTAATTTTTGTATATAGTACAAATTAAGGGTCCAATTTTATATTATTTGAACATCCAGTTCCCCCAGCACTATTTGCTGAAAAGATGGACTTACTCTTTGAGACCCTGTCACCTGCCCACCCCAGTGGACACTAGCTGTTCCATCCAATTGCTGTCCTGGGGCCTTGTCATGCCACTCTTCCACTTTGGACCCAAGCCCACACCGTTGCTCCCCTCTGGGATACTGACCCCACTATAAACTTCTCTAGGGCTACAACCTTCCTACCCCTTGTGCCTCATGACCACCCCCTCCCTTGTCCCCACCATGCCCATGATGAGTCTTTTCTCAAGGCAGCTCCCCTTGCCTCCATCTCACCCTCACCTGTGCACCACAGCCACACTGGACATGGGTCCCTCTGAGCCTGAGTCCCTTCCCATTCCCACTGTCCCCTCTGGCAAGACCTTCCTTCCACCACTGCCTTCATGCTCCTCCCTTGCCCCTGCAGGGCAGCCTCTCCCCTTGGCCCCTATTCCCTTAGGGGGCTTGTGGCCACCCAGTCCTGGCACCTGACCTACAAGTTTGCCATCTTCATTCCCCCTTCTTCTGTTCATCAGCCCCCTCCTCTATCCTCCCACCCTCACAGTTTTCCTTGTATATGAAATCTTCGTTCTTGTCCTTTTGCCCATGTGCATTTCCTGCCTCCTCAGGGAGGTCGGGACAGCAGACCTGTGTGTTAAACATCAATGTGAAGTTATTTCCAGGAAGAAGTTTCACCTGTGATTTCCTCTTCCCCAGAGCCCCACAGTCTTCGTTACAACCTCATGGTGCTGTCCCAGGATGGATCTGTGCAGTCAGGGTTTCTCGCTGAGGGACATCTGGATGGTCAGCCCTTCCTGCGCTATGACAGGCAGAAACGCAGGGCAAAGCCCCAGGGACAGTGGGCAGAAGATGTCCTGGGAGCTAAGACCTGGGACACAGAGACCGAGGACTTGACAGAGAATGGGCAAGACCTCAGGAGGACCCTGACTCATATCAAGGACCAGAAAGGAGGTGAGAGTCGGCAGGGGCAAGAGTAATGGGAGGCCTTCTCCAGGAAAGTTGGAGACAGAGAGCAGGGACCTGTCTCTTCCCGCTGGATCTGGCTGGGGGTGGGGATGAGGAATAGGGTCAGGGAGGCTCAGCAGGGTGGTGAGCCGGAACTCAGCCCACACAGGGAGGCATGGAGGAGGGCCAGGGAGGGGTCGCCGCTGGGCTGAGTTCCTCACTTGGGTGGAAAGGTGATGGGTTCGGGAATGGAGAAGTCACTGCTGGGTGGGGGCAGGCTTGCATTCCCTCCAGGAGATTAGGGTCTGTGAGATCCATGAAGACAGCAGCACCAGGGGCTCCCGGCATTTCTACTACGATGGGGAGCTCTTCCTCTCCCAAAACCTGGAGACTCAAGAATCGACAGTGCCCCAGTCCTCCAGAGCTCAGACCTTGGCTATGAACGTCACAAATTTCTGGAAGGAAGATGCCATGAAGACCAAGACACACTATCGCGCTATGCAGGCAGACTGCCTGCAGAAACTACAGCGATATCTGAAATCCGGGGTGGCCATCAGGAGAACAGGTACCGACCCTGGCCAGGGGCTCTACTGTTCCCGCAATTCTGCTAGAGTTGCCTCGCCTCCCAGCTCTGTCCGGGGAAACCCTCCCTGTGCTATGGATGCAGGCGTTTCCTGTTGGCATATTGTGTCCTGATTTGCCTCTCCTGTTAGAGCCATTGGATAAAGACAGTGGGTCTGGGACTGAACTGTCCAGTGTTGTAATCTGGGAAAGCAGTGGGCCCTCTGACAGAAGCCTGAGCCTGGGGTGGGAGTTAGGCAGGAGAGGAAGCCCTCAGGGCCAGGGCTGCCCCCTCTGCCTCCCGGCCTGCCCATCCCGGAGAGTTCCCTCCTGGCCCCATGACCCAGGAGTCCACCCTTGACATCCCCCTCCTCAGCATCAATGTGGGGATCCCAGAGCCTGAGGCCACAGTCCCAAGGCCCATCCTCCTGCTAGCCTGGAGGAATTAGGCCCCAGGGTGAGGACAGACTTACAGAAGGTCCGGGATCTGTGAGGGATTCAGCCAGAGTGAGAACAGTGGAGAGGAGCAGCCCTGTTCCCTGCATCTCCCTTAGAGGGGAGCAGGGCTTCACTGGCTCTGCCCTTTCTTCTCCAGTGCCCCCCATGGTGAATGTCACCTGCAGCGAGGTCTCAGAGGGCAACATCACCGTGACATGCAGGGCTTCCAGCTTCTATCCCCGGAATATCACACTGACCTGGCGTCAGGATGGGGTATCTTTGAGCCACAACACCCAGCAGTGGGGGGATGTCCTGCCTGATGGGAATGGAACCTACCAGACCTGGGTGGCCACCAGGATTCGCCAAGGAGAGGAGCAGAGGTTCACCTGCTACATGGAACACAGCGGGAATCACGGCACTCACCCTGTGCCCTCTGGTGAGCCTGGGGTGACCCTGGAGAGGGTCAGGCCAGGGTAGGAACAGCAGGGACGGCTGTGGCTCTCTGCCCAGTGTATAACAAGTCCCTTTTTTTCAGGGAAGGCGCTGGTGCTTCAGAGTCAACGGACAGACTTTCCATATGTTTCTGCTGCTATGCCATGTTTTGTTATTATTATTATTCTCTGTGTCCCTTGTTGCAAGAAGAAAACATCAGCGGCAGAGGGTCCAGGTGAGAAAAGGGGACAGTTTCTGGAGATGGGAAAGCTCCTTTCTAGGCAGTAGGGTCTCCTCATTGCTCCTGCCCAGACAAGACGTAGGTGACAAGGCTGCTGGAACAGGGGATGGAAGCTGGGGTATTTGGGAGGGGAATGGGAGCTGCATCTCCATCTACACCCATAAGTGCTTCTCAAGCCAGGGCTGGGGCAAGGCCTTCGAATATCCAGCTGTGGCCTCCTCCTGCTGCAAGTGAGGAGTGGGCAGCAGGGAGGGCTGTGGCACCTGCTCTGTCCCCATCCCAGCCTCTCTGTCTCTCGGGCTCACTAGGGTGCGTCCAGGTGGGGTGAGTTGGGAATCACGTGCTGATTGCTGAGGGCCTGGATGATCATGGTGTCAGAGGGAGGAAATAGTAAAGGTGGCTGTGATCTGGGGAGGGCCAGAAACTGGAGAGGAATCCAAGGAGAGGCGGTGCCCACCCGTGTGCCTCCTCCAGGAGGCACTTTCCAGGTTCCCACCACCTGGCCTCCCTGAGTTTCCTTGCAGATGACACAGATGAATAGATAAGCAGATGTCCCTGGGCCATTTGAGGAGCGGGGCCCAGCCCCTCATCAGGGCAGATGTGGTCCCTGTTTTCATCCTACCTCCAGCGTGTTTTCTTCTGCAGTCCCTGAGGGACACAGTCCCCAGGCGCCATCTCTTTGAGGCTTTGTTCTGTGCTCTGTGGCCTTACCTTGCCCTCCCTGAGCCAATTTCCCTTTCTCAAGGTGGTCACTGCCTGGTAAGTTTGGAGTAAGGGACGGTCAGAAGCATTTCCCCCACAGTCAGGTTGTTTGATGGGGGATGAAAAGAGACAGCAGAAGTTTTGTGTTTCTGCAAAAACAGAGGCAGTGCAGGGGACAGTGAGAGGCTGGGGTGTCCAGGAGACCTGAGTCTGGCGGTAGGGGCGCTGGTTTCTCATCCTTGAACCTAATTGCACTGTCAGTCGGCCCCTCATGCCTGAGCAGATGGGAAGGTTCGTCCCCTGCCCTGCAGCAAGAGGGCCCTGTCCAGGAGGCACCCACAGCAGGGGCAGTGCAGGTCTGTGGTCACTCCTGCTCTCACCTGCGGCGTCTCCCGTGGAGGGATTGTCACTTCTGGTTCCCTGTGGGCAGGAATGGTTTCCTCGTAGGTCACTGGGGTTTTGGCCAGGAAAAGGGTATGAAATTCATGTGCCAGTTTATCAAAATTCCTGCTTTCAATGTTGATGTCCAATAAAGATGTTCGTAATTTCAGCTCTATAATCTTAATAGGATTTCCTCTAATACTGCTGTTGTAAAGCATATTAAATAAAACAGGAACTCAAATTTGGAGCCCCCTCTCCAGAAGGGTCTGTGTGGAGATGGTGGCTGTGGCAGCGGCGGTTCCCAGGTGCAGAGGGTGGGCAGAGGCAGCCTCAGGCTAAGGGGTCTCCCCTACTCCACGTGGAGAAAAGTCCTTGTAGGTTGCAAGGGCAGTGGCCTGGGTGGAATCCCTGCTAGGGACAGAGCAGGAAGGCCTCGCAGCCTCACCAAGCAGCAGCTCTGGGGTGAAGTAAGTGGACCAGGAGTAAGTGGACCAGGCAGGAGCAGTAGTGACTCAACAGCAGGTCACAGGCCTAGGTGGGTGCTGAAGGTCATGGGAGGCCAGGCCTCCTCGAGCAAGGTGGGGGGTCCCAGGGTCATGTCAGGTGCAGATCCTGTGGCAGCCATGTCTTTCCATGCTGGGCCTGCTGGGCCCCCCAGGCTTCCTGATGGGGTCCCCAGTTAGGAGCTGCCTGCTCAGGGCTGGGAGGGGAGGAGTGCTGAGCTGCAGATAGAGGGCAGGGCCCACAGTGGGCAGGGCCTGCCCTGGTGTGCAGGTGCCTCTGCAGGAGAGGAGGGCCTGGGGACTGAGAGCAAGGGTCAGGGCCTCTCTTTGGGGAGGCCTCTCACTGTAACAGGACTGGTCAGGCCTGAGAGGAGGGCACTGGGTTCCCTCTTGGGTCTTGTCCTTTTGTCTTGGGGCCCTTTCACTCCCTGCACGGTGAGTGGTGGGCACAGGACAGGGGCTGATGTTGATGGAGTGATGGGAGAGAACTGACAGGGGCTGGGAAAAGCAAGGAGGGAGGAAGAAAAAAGTGGGGGCCTCATCTTCTCTCAGAGAAAGGGTGAATCTGATTTTGGGGCAACTGAAGAGAGAAAAGTCCTTAGGGAATAAACACAACACTGCACCCAGTGGGGCATTTACCCGTTTCCCTCTTCTCCAGAGCTTGTGAGCCTGCAGGTCCTGGATCAACACCCAGTTGGGACAGGAGACCACAGGGATGCAGCACAGCTGGGATTTCAGCCTCTGATGTCAGCTACTGGGTCCACTGGTTCCACTGAGGGCGCCTAGACTCTACAGCCAGGCGGCCAGGATTCAACTCCCTGCCTGGATCTCACCAGCACTTTCCCTCTGTTTCCTGACCTATGAAACAGAAAATAACATCACTTATTTATTGTTGTTGGATGCTGCAAAGTGTTAGTAGGTATGAGGTGTTTGCTGCTCTGCCACGTAGAGAGCCAGCAAAGGGATCATGACCAACTCAACATTCCATTGGAGGCTATATGATCAAACAGCAAATTGTTTATCATGAATGCAGGATGTGGGCAAACTCACGACTGCTCCTGCCAACAGAAGGTTTGCTGAGGGCATTCACTCCATGGTGCTCATTGGAGTTATCTACTGGGTCATCTAGAGCCTATTGTTTGAGGAATGCAGTCTTACAAGCCTACTCTGGACCCAGCAGCTGACTCCTTCTTCCACCCCTCTTCTTGCTATCTCCTATACCAATAAATACGAAGGGCTGTGGAAGATCAGAGCCCTTGTTCACGAGAAGCAAGAAGCCCCCTGACCCCTTGTTCCAAATATACTCTTTTGTCTTTCTCTTTATTCCCACGTTCGCCCTTTGTTCAGTCCAATACAGGGTTGTGGGGCCCTTAACAGTGCCATATTAATTGGTATCATTATTTCTGTTGTTTTTGTTTTTGTTTTTGTTTTTGTTTTTGTTTTTGAGACAGAGTCTCACTCTGTCACCCAGGCTGCAGTTCACTGGTGTGATCTCAGCTCACTGCAACCTCTGCCTCCCAGGTTCAAGCACTTCTCGTACCTCAGACTCCCGAATAGCTGGGATTACAGACAGGCACCACCACACCCAGCTAATTTTTGTATTTTTTGTAGAGACGGGGTTTCGCCAAGTTGACCAGCCCAGTTTCAAACTCCTGACCTCAGGTGATCTGCCTGCCTTGGCATCCCAAAGTGCTGGGATTACAAGAATGAGCCACCGTGCCTGGCCTATTTTATTATATTGTAATATATTTTATTATATTAGCCACCATGCCTGTCCTATTTTCTTATGTTTTAATATATTTTAATATATTACATGTGCAGTAATTAGATTATCATGGGTGAACTTTATGAGTGAGTATCTTGGTGATGACTCCTCCTGACCAGCCCAGGACCAGCTTTCTTGTCACCTTGAGGTCCCCTCGCCCCGTCACACCGTTATGCATTACTCTGTGTCTACTATTATGTGTGCATAATTTATACCGTAAATGTTTACTCTTTAAATAGACATTTCTGGTCTGTGTTTTATTTCATGCGTCTGGGAGCGGATAAAGTGTAAGGTTCAGGGAGAAGGAGAGGTCTGTCTCAATGCCTTGACCCAGCATCAAAGCAATCTCCCCTCCTTGTTCCCTTTCCCTGCTAGTTCCCAATGACTGACAGATTCACAGCAGAACAGAAAGGACTGGGAAGGGATGGAGGTGGGACATCTGGCGCCAATATTCAGGGGCTGACTCTGTGAGGGAACATCTGCCCTGAAGAGTTGGAGCCTTCATGTGATGACACAGAGATCTCTGTCACTGTATTCAGGGAAAGGATCAAGCCTCACTCCCCATGCAGGGAGGAGGTTCTGGCTGTGATCCGGCCTGTGGGAGAAGTGAGGACCCGCTCCCTCTACAGTGACAGCCAAGAACCTGCAGGTGACAGAGAAGGCTTCCCCTCAACTGTCTCCTATCAGGTTCTTCCAGGCATCAAGGAATAGACCTGGGACATTGCCTCCAGTGACATGAACACACCCAGAAGTGAGGTGGCCCTGCCAGGGGGTCCTGGTGCTGCCACTTGTTTTGGGAGCTCAGTGTCTGGAGAGGGGTGTGGAGAGTAGGCTTTCTGCAAAACAGTAATCATGACCTATAAATTATTTTATTCTTCATTAGCTTTTTGCCATAAAATAAAACAGGTACCCAAAAAGAAAAACTGTCTGAAAATGTTGCCCTTTAATAATAATAATAAATAATAATAATAAAAGATAAACACCCTTTAACCACCAGAGATATAGAAGTTTGTCAGCCAGCCCAGAAACCATCATTTGCCCCAGCTCAGTGATAAAGGCTTCCCTTCCCCACATAAAATCACAGCCTGACCTTTATGATGATTGCTTCTTTGTTCTATTTTATATTTTCATCCTCTGAAATTGTAGTTTAGTTTTACCTTGGGATGTATAATTTTTGTTCTCTTTTTTCTTTTTTTTTTTTAAGACGGAGTCTCACTCTGTCACCCAGGCTGGAGTGCAGTGGCATGATCTCGGCTCACTGCAAGCTCCGCCTCACGGGTTCATGCGATTCTCCTGCCTCAGCCTCCCGAGTAGCTGGGACTACAGGCGTCTGCCACCACGCCCGGCTAATTTTTTTGTATTTTTAGTAGAGACAGGGTTTCACCATGTTAGCCAGGATGGTCTCAATCTCCTGACCTCATGATCTGCCTGCCTCGGCCTCCCAAAGTGCTGGGATTACAGGCGTGAGCCACCGCACCTGGCCTGTTCTCTTTTTTTCTCTATGCTCCTCCTTGAAATTTTATTGTCTGGCTGAGTTTTCCATAGTTTGCATTTTGCTGGCTCCACCCCAAGGCATAGTTTAATATGGACCTGTTTTATCTGTACTTTCTACAAATTGGTAGTTGGCTACAGAGATTTGCTTATAGACTGACTTGATTTTCTTCTTGAATACTTCATTTATGGCACTCCATTGTATTCTTCCATCAGGAGGAAGAACTTAGTACTGGTTATTTACTTCTACTCTACTTTTAATTGCCATTGCTTTTCAATGGCTAAATCTGTTAATTCGTTATGGGTTGCAAAAGAATTATAGTCTCAGTCTCTCATTCCTTCCCCATTCACTAGCTGAATAATTTCTAAAATAAGAGATTTACCCTTGGCTGGATGCGGTGACTTACGCCTGTAATCCCAGCACTTTGGGAGGCCGAGGCTGGTGGATCACCTGAGGTCGGGAGTTCAAGACCATCCTGATCAACATGAAGAAACTGTGTCTCTACTAAAAACACAAAATTAGCCGGGAGTGGTGGCGCATGCCTGTAATCCCAGCTACTCGGGAGGCGGAAGTAGGAGAATTGCTTGAACCGGGAAGGCGGAGGTTGCAGTGAGCCGAGATGGCGCCATTGCACTCCAGCCTGGGCATCAAGAGTGAAACTCCGTCTCAAAATAAATAAATAAATAAAGTGGAGCACTTGACGGCCATGGGAGAGAATCGGTTATGACCACACACAGCAAGATGATGAGCCCAACAAAGATGATGAGCCCGACTACATGAAAACAACTTCTAATTTCATTCAATCAGAACCAACAGAACTCATCTACAGTGTTAAAAATCAAGACAGTGGCTACTCTAGGGTGGGGGAGGCTGGTTTATGACTCAACGGTGTTTCTTGGAGGGTGAAAATGATGTTGCTTGATGAAGGTGTTGTTTATCTGAGTTTTTACTTGGGCAAAACCCACTGCCCACCTGTGATTTGTCCACCTTTCTACATGCATGTTGTCCTTCATTCAAGTTTACATTTCTGGTGTTTTGAAACAATTCTCTCTAAGCTAATATAGAATTTCTCCTACTCCAAGTCCTTAGAAATGCTGCATTGAAAATACCAGTGAATTTTTTTTTAATTCCAGGAAATAAATGCCCATGACTCAGATATAAAAAGGAGAATCTACAAGAGCAGTAGGCTTGGGAGCTGACACCAGAACAGCTTTGGAAAGGGCTGTCGAGCCAGGAACTAGGAATCAAAACCCAAACAAGACCACAGGAGGTAGAGGGTAGAAATTATGCCCCAGTAGTGCATGAATGAATGAATCAAGGGCAGTGACTCATGGGTTGCCTGGCCAGTCTGGAACTTGGGGAAAATAAAGTTGTAAAATTGGGGGATGGAAGAGAGAAGTGTGCACTGACCACTTTCCATGGGAAGAGCATGTGAAGATAGAGGTTGCATATGGATGCCTGCCAGAGGGTCTCCAAGGGGCTGGGGCTCCCTGTAACCAGGTGAGCGAGATGGCTTGATGGATGATGCCACTCAGCCGCACAAGGCTTGCTCATGAGTCCCTGCACAAAGTGGCCGTGGTGGCTGGGATGGACACTGCATGGACAGAGCAATTGAGTCACCACTCACCAAGGCTGACCTGGCAGCTGCCACTGCTGAGGACCCAGCCTGCCAAAAGCAGCTGTTTCTTTGAACAGAGAAAAAAAACAGACAATGTTAATTAAGAGCAAGACAGTGTTATGACAGATAAATATGCCACTGCAGCTATAGTAGAGATGTAAACAATCTTGAAATTATAAAAAAAAAATGTCGATGGAAAAGACTTACTGCAAGTAAGAAGTTAAAACAGTTGTAAAAATTCTATCTCTGCCCAACTATATACAGATTGTTTCACAGGGAAGTCCTACTAAACCTTCAAAGAAGGTTATTGGACTTATTTAAAATATTCAAGAGAATGGAGCAAAATACAGAAAGCTAGGCAACTCACTTTATCAGCTATGAATAGTGTTAATTCTAAAGCCAGTTAGGGAACAAATAATAAAGAAACAAGATAGGAAAATCACTATTAGTAATTAGATGTAAAATAGATGAGAAAAATAGTAGACTGTGTCCATCAGTGTGCTATAAACAAATTAAATATCTTGACCAAGTTATGAATCCCAAGAATAAAAGAATATTTAAACTTTAAATCTTTTAATGCATTTTAACACTTAATTCAATAATTTAAAAAGAGACAATCATATTTCACTAGATGTAGAAATCACTGTAGATGAAATCTAACACTACACCTGACCTACATTTCTTCAGTTATCTCCACTTTTAAGAATTTGTGATCAGTGCAGCACTATTCACAATAGCAAAGGTAAGGAATCAACCCAGATGCCCATCAACAGTGGAATGGATAAAGAAAACTGCGGCACAGGGCCAGGCGCGGTGGCTCACGCCTGTAATCCCAGCACTTTGGGAGGGTGAGGCGGGCAGATCACGAAGTCAGGAGTTCGAGACCATCCTGGCTAACACAGTGAAACCCCGTCTCTACTAAAAATACAAAAAATTAGCCGGGCGTGGTGGCGGGCGCCTGTAGTCCCAGCTACTCGGGAGGCTGAGGCAGGAGAATGGCATGAACCCAGGAGGTGGAGTTTGCAGTGAGCCGAGATCACGCCACTGCACTCCAGCCTGGGTGACAGAATGAGACTCCGTCTCAAAAAAAAAAGAAAAGAAAAGAAAAGAAAACTGCAGCACTTATACACCATGGTACGCTACCCAGCCAAAAAAACAAGAACGAAATCATGTCCTTCACAGCAACATGGATGGAGGTGGAGACCATTATTCTAAGCAAATTAATGTAGGAACAGAAAGCCAAATACCACATATTCTCACCTATAAGTGGCAGCTAAACATTGAGTACACATGGACACAAAGAAGGGAACAATAGACACTGGGGCCTCCTTGAGGGTGGAGGGTGGGAGGAGGGGGAGGATTAAAAAACTACCTATTGGGTATTGTGCTGATTACCTGAGTAACAAAATTATCTGCACACCAAACACCCGTGATACACAATTTACCCATGTAACAAACCTGAATATGTATCCCTTGAACCTAAAAAATCAAAAAGAAAAAAGTAAAAAAGAATTCCTGATCAGATTGAGCCAGGACAATGGCCGGGCGTGGTGGCTCACGCCTGTAATCCCAGCACTTTGGGAGGCCGAGGCAGGTGGTCAGGGTAGGCCTCTTGGAGGAGCCATGTGAGCAGACTTGAGAAGGAGAGAAACAGCCATGCAGATATTTGAAGGAAGAACCTTCCAGTATCCCACTCTAAGCATACCCAGGACTCTGCTCTGGGGCAGACCCTAAAGCTGCAGTGGAAATGGAGGTGGCCACACTCACAGAGACTGTGGCAGAGAGTGATGGGGATTTGGGTCTCCCCTTCCTGCTGTGGCTGTTAGAAGTGCTGGAGTTGGGGAGGGAAAGGCACTGGCATGTGGAGGAAGACTAGGAGAGGAGGGGAGGCTGAAGTGTGTCCCACTCTCACTCCACCTCTCTGTTCTCTATCTCCTGCATCCGGTGCCTCCCCGACTTCCCCAAAGTTGTGGTCCCTGACAAGGAGGACCCTGAGGGCAACCACACCTTGCCATGTAGAGCACCTGGCTTCTCACTTGCCAACATCACTCTGACCTGGCTGCAGGAAGGGGAGGAGCCAACTCTGGACTCAAGACTCAAGGGGACCAGACCCAGGAAGATGAGACATATCAGGGCTGGGCAGCTGTGGGGGGCCCTCCCAGAGAAGGCCTGAGATACACCTGCCTGCAGGTGCTCCTGGGCCTGGAGAAGCCCCTCAGTGTGACTAGGTGAGGTGTTGTCAGAGGACCAGAGGCTGAGGGTGGGGCGTCCCATCCAGATCCTGCCCCCCTCTCTGCCCCAGCACCCAAGGCCCCTTCCTCCCTCCTCTATGGAGATGCTGGGGATGTCCTCATTCTCCCTCTGAGCACTCACATCTCACCCCTCATCTGTCTCTCTAACCTCCTTCCTTCCTGCTGCAGCTTCTGCCCCAGCCCCAGGCTCTGGCCTCTCTCTCCCCAGTTCCACCCTCCAGGGGGTGATGGTTCACTTCCCTCTGAGGAGCCAGCACTAGGTGAGAGGCTAGGAGAAGGAAAAGCTCATGGGCCATGGGTTGGGAGGGAGAATGGGCACTGAAATGGAAGGGTAGGGAGACAGAAGAGGCAGGTATTTCCAAATCACCATTTTTCTGTCATGGTCCAAGGGTGCCATCCTTCTCCCAGGCCCAGGGATGTGGAAAGAGCAGCAGGAATTGAGAAATACTCCACAGGAAAGAACAATGTGCCTCCTCCCTCCACCGGCTTCTTCCTCTTGTCTATTCTGGTCAATTCTCTAAGTGAATCATGTTACCAAAATGTAAAATGTTTATTTTAGGAAAGTCTCCAAATATTAGGGAATAAAATTACTAGTGCCTAAGCCCTGCATACTGAAAAACAGAAGCTTTAAGAAATAAAGACCTGCATGGAAAATTGCTCATCAACTCGGGGAAGTCAAAGTCTGAGCTGAATCAGCTCTTTTTTTCTTTCTCTTTTTTTTTTTTTTCTTTTTTTGAGACGGAGTCTTGCTCTGTCGCCCAGGCTGGAGTGCAGTGGCATGATCTCAGCTCACTGCAACCTCTGCCTCCCCGACTCAAGCAATTCTCCTGTCTCAGGCTCCCAAGTAGCTGGGATTACAGGCATGCGCCACCATGCCCAGCTAATTTTTGTATTTTTCAGCAGAGACGAGGTTTCGCCATGTTGGCCAGGCTGGTCTCAAACTCCTGACCTCAGGTGATCCGCCTGCCTCAGCCTGCCAAAGTTCTGGGATTACAGGCATGAGCCACCATGCCCAGCTGAATCAGCTCTAAAGTGGTGCTGAAGTGAGAGCCATTTATGTGCCTGTGTGAGTTCACACAGGTCTTGAGACCTCTGTGTCCTCCTTAGAAGAGTGAAGTGAGCACCCAGTGCCTAGACCTTGGTTGTGATAAGTCATTCTCTGATAAAAGGATTCAGGGCTCCATAGAAAAACAGCTGATTCTAGGGCTGGCATAGGAAAAATATAAGGTGAGCCTGGAACATCTTGTAATGCCAGAAAGTAACCGCCACCCATCTCCCAACCCTCACCACCAAAAAATAAGGGCATGTCAGAGGGACACAGGAGTCAACCTGAAAGAGCTCCCTATGGACAAAGCCGGAATAATCCGAGCAACAAAGTTACAATAGTATTGGATTATGACCCAAAATATAAATAAATATTCATTCCACACTGATTTATTTAATCAAAAATAATTAAATAAATAAATAGGGAAGAAGGGGCAAATCTTCCTTACAGAAGAATTTCAAAACATATATTACGAGAATCTCTTTCCCAGGAGATTGGAATTTTATTTCTCTCACCTTGAATATGGGCTGGACTTGCTGACTTGCTTCCAAAGACTAGAGTATGAAAAAGGAAAAATAATAACTTTACAGTGGAGAAATGTAGCAGACACTACCAAGCAATCAGAGTCATGTTAACATCTTGCCCCCCAGAAATGATGTGATGAGGACACTCCCCTCTATGGTATTCTTCCCTTAAACCCATAACCCCAATCTAATCATAAGGAAGCATCAGGCAAACCCAAAGTGAGGGACATCCTACAAATTATCTATCCAGTATTCTTCAAAACTTTCAAGGTCATGAAAACAGGTAAAGACTGAGAAACTCATGATCAGAAAGACTAGGGAGACCCAAAAGCTAAATGCATTAATGGGCCCTGGAAAAACTGGTGAAGTCCAAATAAAGTCTACAGTTTAGCGAATAGTATTATAGCAATGTTAATTTCTTAGTTTCTTAGTCTTGACAGAATTTTGTTAGATGTTAACATTAAGGAAAGCTGGGGTTTATGGAAACTCTGTGTTCTAGCTTTGCAACTCTTTAAATCTATTATTGTTATTGTTATTGGGTTTTTTTGTTTGTTTTGTTTTTGTTTTTTTTTTGAGATGGAGTCTCGCTCTGTCGCCCAGGCTGGAGTGCAATGGCGCGATCTCAGCTCACTGCAACCTCCACCTCCTGGGTTCAAGCAATTGCCCTGCCTCAGCCTCCCCAGTAGCTGGGATTCCAGGCACCCATCACCACGCTCGGCTAGTTTTTGTATTTTTAGTAGAGATGGGGTTTCGCCATGTTGGCCAGGGTGGTCTCGAACTCCCGACCTCAGGTGATCTGTCCGCCTCGGCCTCCCAAAGTTAAATCTATTATTATTCAAAACAAATTTAACTAAAAGTGAAATGAAGCTAGGTACAGTAGCTCATGCCTGTAATCCCAGCCCTTTGGGAGGCCAATTTAAGCCCAGGAGTTTGAGAGAAGCCTGGGCAACATAGTGAGACCTTGTCTTATAAAAAAAATTAATTTAAAAAATGAAATGAATAGACATATATTAAATTAAATCGATAATTAATAACATTCAGAAACAGAAAACATCAGCCCCAAATGGGTTTACTGATAAATTCTATCAAACATTTAAGGAAAAAATTATACCAATTTTCTATAATCTCTTCCAGAAGACATACTTTCTTTTGTTGTTGTTGTTATTCAGTGTTAATTTCATAATCATAAACTTAATGCTGCAATCCAGCTAGGCATGGAAGGGAACAAGGAAAACATGAAACCCAAAGGGAACTGCAGTGAGAGCACAAAGATTCTAGATACTGCGAGCAGATGGATGGAGGGTGTTCTCCTGAGCTACAGAAGCAATGGTCTAGTGGTTAAGATAAAACACAAGTCAGGCCGGGCGCGGTGGCTCACACCTGTAATTCCAGCACTTTGGGAGGCTGACGCAGGTGGGATCACCTGAGGTCAGGAGTTCAAGACCAGCCTGACCAACACGGAGAAACCCCGTCTCTACTAAAAATACAGAATTAGCCAGGTGTGGTGGCGCATGCCTGTAATCCCAGCTACTCGGGAGGCTGAGGCAGAAGAATCGCCTGAACTCAGGAAGCAGAGGTTGCAGTGAGCCGAGATGGCGCCATTGCACTCCAGCCTGGCAACAAGAGCGAAACTCAGTCTCAAAAAAAAACACAAGTCAAACTTAGTCAAGTTGTGTACAGTCAGCGATGGTGATCTTCTTGATGGTCTTGCCATTCCCAGACCCAAAGTGCTCCATGGCCTCCACAATATTCATGCCATCTTTCACCTTGCCAAAGACCATGGGCTTGCCATCCAACCACTCAGTCTTGGCAGTGCAGATGAAAAACTGGGAATTGCCCGGGCTAGGTGGCTCATGCCGTAATCCCAGCACTTTGGGAGGCCGAGATGGGCAGATCACCTGAGGTCAGGAGTTCAAGACCAGCCTGACCAACATGGTGAAACCCCGTCTCTAATAAAAATACAAATATTAGCCAGGCATGGTGGTGCATGCCTGTAATCCCAGCTACTCAGGAGGCTGAGGCAGGAGAATTGCTTGAACCTGGGAGGCGGAAGTTGCAGTGAGCCAAGATCGCGCCACTGCACTCCAGCCTGGGCGACAGAGTTAAGACTCCATCTCAAAAAAAAGAGAAAAAAGAAAAACCGGGAATCATTTGTGTTGGGTCCAGCATTTGCCATGGACAAGATGCCAGGACCTGTATGCTTTAGGATGAAGTTCTCATCATCAAATTTCTCCCCGTAGATGGACTTGCCACCAGTGCCATTATGGCGTGTGAAGTCACCACCCTGACACATAAACCCTGGAATAATTCTGTGAAAGGAGGAACATTTATAATCAAATCCTTTCTCTCCAGTGCTCAGAGCACGAAAGTTTTCTGCTGTCTTTGGAAACTTGTCTGCAAACAGCTTGAAGGAGACACAGCCCAAGGGCTCACCATTGACAGCGATGTTGAAGGACACGGTGGGGTTGACCATGGCTGATAGTATGGGGCTCCTGATGGTGGCGTCTGCAAAGCCAAGACAGACACTTTCTATCTCATTTCATGAGGCCAGGATTCCATGAGGGAATACTTTCTAACTAATTCCATGAGGCCAGCATTAGCCAAATACCAAAATCAGATGAAGACTTCACAAAAAAAGAAAACCACAGACCAATATCTCTCATGAACATAGGTGCAAAAATCCTCAGCAAAATGCTAGCAAATCAAATCCACAATGTATGAGAAGAACAATACACCATGCCTAAGTAAGATTTATCCCAGGTATGCAAAGTTACTTCAACATTGGAAAATCAGTTAATGTAATCCATTAAATCAACTGGCTAAAGAAGAAAATCACATGATCATATCAATAGAGGCAGAAAAAGCAATTGACAACATCCAACACCCATTCATGATGATTAAAAAAAAAAATCTCTTAGCAAGCTAGGAATAGAGAAGACCTTACTCAACTTGATAAACAACATCCACAAAACATCCACAGCTAACATCACACTTAATGGTGAGAAACTAAAAGCTTGCCTGCTAAGATCAGAACAAGGCAGGAATGACCCTCTCAACACAGCTTTTCAACGTTGTACTGGAAGTCCTAGCTAAAGTAGTAAGACAAGAAAAGGAACTAAAAGGTATACAAATTTGGAACAAGAAATAAAACTGTCTTTGTTTACAGATGATATGATTGTCTATGTAGAAAATCAAAAAGAATCCACACATAAAAAACTCCTGGAACTAACAAGCAATTATAGCAAGGTTGCAGGATATAAAGTTAATATGTAAAAGCCAATCACTTTTCTATGTATCAGCAATGAGCACGTAGAATTCGCCATTTAATTTTTTTTTTTCAAGACGGAGTCTTGTTCTGTCGCCCAGGCTAGAGTGCAGTGGCGCGATCTCAACTCACTGCAACCTCCTCCTCCCAGGTTCAAGCAATTCTCCTGCCTCAGCCTCCTGAGTAGCTGGGATTACAGGTGTGCCCCACCATGCCCAGCTAATTTTTGTATTTTTAGTAGAGACGGGGTTTTACCATGTTGGCCAGGCTGATCTCGAACTTCTGACCTCATGTTCTGCCTGCCTCAGCCTCCCAAAGTGCTGGGATTACAGGCGTGAGCCACCGTGCCTGGTCCAGAATTTGCCATTTAAAACACAATACCACTTACATTAGCACCCCCAAAAATGAAACACTTAGGTACAAATCTAAGAAAATATGTACAAGATCTATATGAACAAAACTACAAAACTGACAAAAGAAATCAAAGAACTAAACAAATGGAGAGATATTCCATGTTCATAGTCAGGAAGGCTCAATACTGTTAATATATCTGTTCTTTCCAACTTGATCTGTGGAATGAATGCAATCTCAATAAAAAACCTCAGTAAGTTATTTTGTGGATATTAACAAACTGATTCAAACTTTATATGGTGAGGCAAAAGACCTAGCCAGCACAATATAGGAGAAAAATAAAGTCAAAGACCACCACTACCTGACTTAGACTTTCTATAAAGCCATAGTAATCAAGACAGAGTGGTGATTAGCATAGCCATTGTGGGAAACAGTATGGAGGTTCTGCAAAAATTTTAAAAATAGAAATACCACATGATCCAGCAATCCCACTAATGGGTATATATCCAAAGGATATGAAATCAGTACGTTGAGATATTTGCACTCCCATATTCATTGCATCATTATTCTTTTTTTTTTTTTTTCCTTTAGAGATAGAGTCTATGTTGCCCAGGGCAACTCCTGGCCTCAAGCGATCCTGCTGTCTCAGCTTCCCAATTATCTGGGATTATAAGCACGAGACACTGCACCTGGCTGCAGCATTATTCTCAATAGCCAAGATATAGAATCCACCTAAGTGTCCATCAATGGATGAATGGATAAAGAAAATGTGGTATATATAAAAAATGGAATACTATTCAGCCTTAAAAAACAAAATCCTGTCATTTGTGACAACATGGATGAACCTGGAAGACATTATGTTAAGTGAAATAAGCCAGGCACAGAAAGACAAATACAATCTCACTTATATGTGGAGTATAGAAAAAGCCAGACTCATAAATAGAGAGTAAACTGGTGGTTATCAGAGGCTGGGAGGTCGGGGAATTGGGGAGATGTTAGTCAAAGAACACAAGATTTCAGTTAGGAAGAATAAGTTCAAGAGATCTATTGTACCTTATGGTGACTAAACTTAATAACAACATATTGTGTATTTCAAAATAGTATGAGAATAGCTTTAAGCATTCTCATCACATACACACAAAATATGTATGTGAGGTAATGTACATATTATTAAATTGTTTGGTTTATCCATTCCACAATGTGTGTGTATGTATGTGCATATATATATAAACATGATGTACACCACAAATGTATAAAATTAGTCAATCGAAAAATTAATTTTAGAAAGACAGAGTGGCATTGGCAAAGAATAGACAAATTGATCCACTTGAGCAGAATAGAGAGCCAAGAAATAGTCCCACATAAATACAAGGAGCAAAGACAATACAATAAAGATAGTCTTTTCAGCAAATGCTGCTGGAACAACTGGACAGCCATGTACAAGAAAAATGAAAAGAGCTCTCTTAAAAGGTTACTGTGAAAGCCACCTGTGACAGTAACAGAAAGTGCCCAGCAGGGTCTCTGACACTTAGTAATGTAATCTCTCTCACTGTAATGTAATGGCTAAACTTCAACATCCCTCAGCCCCCATCTCCATAAGACTTTCCCATAGAGGCAACAATGATTCCTGTCAGTCACCCAGTCCTGCCAATCCACTGGGTAGGATACAATATTGAGGGGCCCATCAGCACACTGGCCTTAGGGGGCTCTGCAGCCCCTTGACCTTGTGGATGATGCTGGCCTTAATCTCCTCTTGTCCGTGGCTAAAGACAGGCCCCTTCTGCGGAGACCAGGCCAGAATGCTCATCTGATTAAGACTCTATATTAAGAGTCAGGAATAACAAAAACAACAATAAATAAATAAACACAGTAACATAATCTATGTGTCTTAGTCCGTTTCCTGCCGCTATAACAGAATACTACAGACTGGGTAATTTATTTTGTTGTTTTTTCAGACAGGGTCTCTCTCTGTCGCTCAGACTGGAGTGCAGTGGCATGATCTCGACTCACTGCAACCTCCACCTCCCAGACTCAAGTGATCCTCCCACCTCAGCCTCCTAAATAACTGGGACCACAGACCCGCACGACCACACCAGCTAATTTTTGTGTTTTTTTGTAGAGATGGGTTTTGCCATGTTGCCCAGGCTGGTCTCAAACTCCTGGGCTCAAGCCTTCCACCCACCTTGGCCTCCCAAAGTGCTGGGATTACAGGCTTGAGCCACCACACCCAGCACAGACTGGGTAATTTATAAAGACAATAAATGTTTTTCCCACAGAGCTGGAGGCTGAGAAGTCCAAGAGCATGACACTGGCATCTTATGAGGGCCTGGCTGCAGTATCATCCCATAGTGAGAGGTGGAAGGGCAAAGAGGCTGAACTGATTTCTATCATGCCATACAATGGCATTAATCTATTCAATCTAATCAACCCTGAAAGGTCCCACATCGGCTGGGCACGGTGGCTCATGCCTGTAATCCCAGCACTTTGGGAGGCCAAGGCAGGTGGATCACCTGAGGTCAGGAGTTCAAGACCAGCCTGACCAATATGATGAAACCCCGTCTCTACTAAAAATACAAAAATTAGCTGGGCGTGGTGGCATGTGCCTGTAATTCCAACTACTCAGGAGGCTGAGACAGGAGAATCACTTGAACATGGGAGGCGGAGGTTGCAGTGAGCTGAGATTGTGCCATTGCACTCCAGCCTGGGCAACAAGAGCGAAACTCCATCTCAAAAAAAGAAAAAAAAAAAGTCTTGCATCTTAATACCATTAGGATAGCAATTAAATGTCAACATGAGTTTTGGTGGGGACATTCCACTTTAGCACTAGGTATTCTGGTTTATGTATTTTTTTAGCTTAATTCCTTCATTTCTACAATTATGAGATCCACGATTATCCACTATATTTGGTTTTCTTTCTTTTTGGTTTTGTTTTTTGTTTTTTGAGACAAGAGTCTCGCTCTGTCGCCAGGCTGGAGTGCAGTGGCATGATCTCAGCTCACTGTAACCTCTGGCTCCCGGGTTCAAGTGATTCTCCTGCCTCAGCCTCCCGAGTGGCTGGGACTACAGGCGTGCACCACCATGCCCGGCTAATTTTTGTATTTTTAGTAGAGACGGGGTTTCACCATGTTGGCCAGGATGGTCTCGATCTCTTGACCTCATGATCCGCCCGCCTCGGCCTCCCAAAGTGCTGAGATTACAGGTGTGAGCCACTGCGCCTGGCCTCATCCACTATATTTGAACCGACCCAAAGGCCAGTGCTTTCTTAATTAAGTTCCCACAGGTGAACAAAGCCAAAATTCAGATTCTATTTTATTTATGGTTTAGAATTACCTACTGTGAAAAAAAAAAAAAACTAGCTACTATAAATTATTGGGGGTTAGTCCATTTAGTCCATTTTGGAGTTCATAACCTAAAGCAGAAACTCACATGGTTGAAATGTCACTTTCCCAAAGGATTGTTATTAGTGTATCATTTAGATTGTCTTGCAAAAGTCTCATTTGTTGTTTTTTCTAAATGGCTGCTAATCTTTTAAATTAACAGATAGAGGGCCAGGCACGGTGGTTCACACCTGTAATCCCAGCACTCTGGGAGGCTGAGGCAGTCGGATCACTTGAGGCCAGGTGTTCAAGACCAGCCTGGCCAACATGGTGAAACCCTGTCTGTACTAAAAATACAAAAATTAGCTCGGCATAGTGGCACACGTCTGTAATCCCAGCTTCTTGGGAGGCAGAGGCATAAGAATTGCTTGAACCCGGCAAGCGGAGGTTCCAGCAAGCAGAGATTGTGCCATTGCACTCCAGCCTGGGTGACAGAGCATTGCTCTGTCCACCTCCCAAAAATGTAGTTAATTTTTTTTCTTTTCTTTTTTTTTTTTTTTTTTTTTTTTTTTTTTTTTTTTTTGAGAGACGGAGTCTTGCTCTGTCGCCCAGGCTGGAGTGCAGTGGCACAATCTCAGCTCACTGCAACCTCCGCCTCCCAGGTTCAAGCAATTCTCCTGCCTCAGCCTCACAAGTAGCTGGGATTACAGGTGGCTACCACCACGCTTAGCTAATTTTTTGTATTTTTAGTAGAGACGGGGTTTCATCATGTTCGCCAGGCTAGTCTTGAACTCCTGACCTTAAGCGATCCCCCTGCCTCGGCCTCCCAAAGTGCCGGGATTACAAGCATGAGCCACTGCGCCCGGCCAACTTTCAATGTTAATTAGTTGTGGTTTGTTTAACCATATACTGCATAGTTTCGCTTATCTATAATAACAGTAGTTTGGGGCTCTTATATTCTAATAATTAAGACTTTAGCTGTGTACACATTGCAATTAAAGTATGAGTCATGCATAACCTTATCACCAAGATACAAGAGGGAAAGCCCTTCTCCCCTTAAACTTTTACAAAGGTTCTGGGTTCTTTTTCCACTTAAGTGGGAAAAAGTCAGCTAATGAGGAACGTAAAGTCTTTGGCCTCATCTAAAGGTGCTTTGGCCCGCAAGTGTGAGAAGCACTGACCGCTGGGAAGTCCTCACTGCCTGGTTCCTGGACTCTTACACCATGGCAGAGGCCATCTTCCCTCCCAATGCAGAGTGATATCCAGATAGCGAGCTGGCTAGCAGCTGTCCACTCTCCAGCAATCCTGCCTTCTGGGGCATGGTTTTCTAAGGACCTTCCTGTTCCTAGATGATCAAAATTGGGACCAGCCACTCCCTTCTGAGCCACTCCTGCCTCTGGGCCTGTGGCTATGTCACAGTCCAGTCACAACAGGACATCCCTTCAGAACACCCTGCAGGAAGCTGACATCTCTATGCAGACTCACACATGCACGGTGTGTGCACAGGCCTTTGGTTCTACTTCAGGAGGTGTTGGGGGAGGCTCACTAGTCCAACAGAACTTGAGGCCAGTTGTACCAGTGTCATATCCCAGGAGCCAAGGTTACAAGGGATACAAAGTGCCCAGACCTACCAGAGAAGGCAAACCCCTACAGCATGCAGGGCTAGACAGGGGCAAGAAACAAGGTCATTCTGGGCCAGCAAGAAGAGGGAAAGGGAAATGACAGGCATACCTCGGAGATACTGAAGATTTGTTTCCAGACCATAGCAACAAAGTGAGTCACACAAACTTTTTAGTTTCCTATTGTGCATAAAAGTTATGTTTGTACTATATTGTAGTCTGTTAAGTGTACAGTAGCATTGTGTACAAAAAACTGTGTATATACTTAATGGAGTCTCGCTCTGTCACCCAGGCTGGAGTGCAGTGCCACGATTTTGGCTCACTGCAACCTCCGCCTCCTGAGTTCAAGCCATTCTCCTGCTCAGCCTCCCAAGTAGCTGGGACTACAGGTGCCCATCACCATGCCCAGCTAATTTTTGTATTTTTAGTAGAGATGAGGTTTCACCATGTTGGCCAGGCTAATCTTGAACTCCTGACCTCAAGTGATCCACCCACCTCGGCCTCCCAAAGTGCTGGGATTACAGGCGTGAGCCACTGTATCTGGCCATATACTTTAATTTTAAAATACTTAATTGCTAAACAAATGCTAACCATCATATGAGGCTTCAGCTAATCCTGATCTTTTTGCTGGGGGAGGGTCTTGCCTCCATGGATCAGGGGCATGGCTGCTGAAGGCTGCTTTGACAACTTCTTAAAATAAGACAATGATGTTTGCCATTTGCCGCATGGATTATTCCTTTCAATATTGTTGTGCCTCAGGGAATAGGGAGGCCTGGAAAGCAGAGTCGGGAGAATGGCCAGTTGGTGAAGCAGTCACAACACACACATTTTTCCATTAAGTTTGCTGTCTTATATGAGCATCGCTCATGGTGTCCCAAAACAATCACAATAGTTAACTTCAGTAACTGATTACAGGTCACTGTAACAAGTATAATAATGAAAACGCTTGAAACATTTTGAGAATTCCACAGCGTGACATGGAGACATGATGTCTGCCTGCTGTTGGGAAAATAGCACCAATAGACCTGTTTGATGTGCTTGACACAGGGTTGCCACAAGCCTCCAATCTCTAAATAAAAAACAGCATCTGCAAAGAGCAATAAAGGGAAGCACAATAAAAGGTACATCTGCAAAGGGGAATCAGCACTTAAGCAAGGTCAGGATGAGCTTTCAAGTCAGGTGGACCTAGACATGAACCCTCCAGGCCCTACCAACAACCAGCTATGGACCTTCGAGCACATCCAGCCTAGAGCTGCCCCCAACAGACACTTCCCCAGTGAATGCTGAATGAAACCATCTGAGCCAGTTTCCTCAGGTGCAAACCAGTGAGGTAATTCCTACCTTGCAGAGTGAAGTGAGAAAAGACAGTGTTAAGAAATGCCGGGTGCGGTGGCTCACGCCTGTAATCCCAGCACTTTGGGAGGCCAAGACGGGCGGATCATGAGGTCAGGAGATCGAGACCACCCTGGCTAACACGGTGAAACCCCGTCTCCACTAAAAATACAAAAAATTAGCCGGGCGTAGTGGCGAGCACCTGTAGTCCCAGCTCCTCGGGAGGGTGAGGCAGGAGAATGGCGTGAACCCGGGAGGCAGAGCTTGCAGTGAGCCCAGATTGCGCCACTGCACTCCAGCCTGGGCAACAGAGCGAGACTCCGTCTCAAAAAAAAAAAAAAAAAAAAAAAGACACAAGACCTGTGGTAGCCTTTCCTTTCTGTCTGGCAGCAGCCACTGGGTAAACCAAGATGGTGCATACAAGTACATCCAGAAGCTATGGAAGAAGCAGTCTGATGTCATGAGCTTTCTTCTGAGGGTCCGCTGCTGGCAGTACCACCAGCTCTCTGCTCTCCACAGGGATCCCCGCCCCACCCAGCCCAATAAAGCACGCTACTGGGCTACAGCCAAGCAAGGTTATGTTACATATAAGCGCCACGGTGGCTGAAAATCTAGTTCCTAAGAAGGCAACTTAACAGCAAGCCTGTCTATCATGGTGTTAACCAGCTAGTTTGCTTAAAGCCTTCAGTCTGTTACAGAAGAGCAAGCTGGATGCCACTGTGGGGCTCTGAGTCCTGAATTCTCACTGGGCTGGTTAAAGATTCCACATACAAAGTTTTTGAGGCTATCCTAGTTGATCCATTCCATAACACTATCAGAAGGAAACCTGACACCCAGTGGTCCACAACAAGCATAGGGAGATGCGTAGGCTATCTGCAGGCCAAGAGAGCCACGGCCTTGGAAAGGGCTGTAAGTTCTACCACACTATTGGTGGTTCTCGCCATGCAGCTTGGAGAAGGTGCAATACTCTCCAGCTCCACAGCTACCGCTAATGTTTGTAAAATTCATACCTAATAAACACTAGATCAAAAAAAAAAAATCACAGACCTGTGGTAGGCTGGGCACCAGTGCTCTAAAGCAAGTTCTGCCTAAACTGGCAGGGACATTTTTCACATCAGGAACAGGAGTTGTTCCTGGACTCTGTCTGGGGCCAGGCTGGGAGAGACGTGGGGCAGAGTGGGGCAGGGGCAGGGGCAGGGCTGGGGGCTGGGGCCTGGGCAGGGCCAGGCACTCAAGTGAGGCCAAGTCCTGGAGCGAACCAGTTCCTGGTGGCCGTTGGACAGCTCACACAGCTCCCTGCCAGGTCACCCGCCATGGTCCTCCCTCTGCCCTGGCTCTCTCGGTACCATTTCCTTCGCCTCCTTCTGCCCTCCTGGTCCTTGGCACCCCAGGGCTCCCATGGGTGCTGCTCCCAAAACCCCAAAGCAAGCATGGAAGAGCAGACCAGCTCCAGAGGAAATGGGAAGATGACGTCCCCTCCCAGGGTAAGTGGCACCACAGGTAGGAACAGAGGGTGTGAGAATTTACACTGGGGTGTGGGAAAAAAAAACCCTCAATCCCACCCTGCACCACCCCACACCATGCCTACCCCTGCAGCTCTTTTCTTAGTTCAGCTACCAACTCCTCTCCCCACCTCCCCCAGCCCAGACCTCAGGGTTCCCTTCCCTCACCCCACCCCCACCCACAACAGCACAGTCCACAAAGTCCTTGAACAGGATCTATTCCCCCTCACCTAACAGTTAATTATTTCTTAGCGGGGAGGAGCGGCTGATCCTCTTTCCAGTGACCCCATATCCTTGTTCAAGGAAGCCAGTTACAGCCCCTGGGCCAGGGAACTCTATTTGCTCCCCCTACTACCACCCAGAGGCCTATGCCCAAGACAGGAAGCTACCTGGCCTTCTCAGTACAGGTGTCCTTAAACGACCGGTTCAAAAACGAATAGGGAAGGTGGAATTTCTCACTTCCAGCCACAGCCTGCAACAAAGCTTCCCAGGGCCTCAGCCCCCTGCCCTGGCTGATGCTCCCTCCCTTAATTCCCTGACCAGGGCCCTGGGACCCACCGCACAGCTGAGCTGGCCCGAGCTGAAGAGTTGTTGGAGCAGCAGCTGGAGCTGTACCAGGCCCTCCTTGAAGGGCAGGAGGGGGCCTGGGAGGCCCAAGCCCTGGTGCTCAAGATCCAGAAGCTGAAGGAACAGATGAGGAGGCACCAAGAGAGCCTTGGAGGAGGCGCCTAAGTTTCCCCCAGTGCCCACAGCACCCTCCGGCGCTGAAAATACACGCACCACCCACCAGGAGCCTTGGGATCATAAACACCCCAGCGTCTTCCCAGGCCAGAGAAAGTGGAAGAGACCACAAAGCGCAGGCAATTGGCAGGCAGTGGGGGAGCCAGGGCTCTGCAGTCTTAGTCCCATTCCCCTTTGATCTCACAGCAGGCAGGGCACCCAGGCCTTATAGGAATTCACCCTGGACCATGCCCTAAAATAACCTCACCCCAAATACAATAAAGGGACGAAGCACTTATAGATACCACAGACACATGTGTTTCATTTTTAGTTTTGTTAAAAAAAAATTCTGACAAATCAGAAATGGGGGTTCAGGAGTGGTGGTGATGCAAAAGATGGAAGCCATGGGGTGGGGGCTGTCAGGGGTGGGGGCAGTAGTGTCTCCTTCACCCCCACCCTGGTGTCCTCTCCTGAAGGACAGACGGTCACATTCCAAAATGGGCGAGTCTTCTACCGTGTCTGTTCAACTGAGAAGAAAACGTAGCATGGTCAGAATAAGGCATGAAAAGGGGAAAGTGAGGCAGGAACACACGGCACACATGCAGACACTGGTGTACTGCCTGGGTTCAGAGGACGGACGTGGGGGTGAGGGAAGGGATGTAATATGATGAGAGAAGACAAGACACCCCACATAAAGGTCAGAAAAACATCCCAACACAGCATCAAAGACCAGGGGGCATGAACCAGTCAAGTGTCCATTATGCATCAGATGCCCATGACCTATGTGATGGGATTTCGGACAAACACACTAAGGAACAGGGAGGACCTAAAGGGTTTCATGAGATCAGTACTCACTGTAGGAGGAGATGTCTATCTCATCAGGCAGCTCACTAATATTGACCTCAAAGCGATCCTGCACATCATTGAGGATCTTGGCATCATTCTCATCGGACACAAATGTGATAGCCAAGCCCTTGGTGCCAAACCGGCCTGCTCTGGCCACCTGGAGGGAGACAGAGGGTAGCACTGGAAGACCGAAGAGGAAAGAGACCCAGAGGCAGGAATGAAGATGTACAAACAGAAAACAAGGGAATGGGAGAGTGGGATTTTTTCAGCCTGTGAGGTTTACCCGATGCAGGTAGGTGTCAGAATCCTCAGGCATGTCATAATTAAAAGCAATGTTCACCCGCTCGATGTCCATGCCTCGGCCAAATAGGTTGGTAGCCACAAGAATTCGTCGTTGAAAATCTTTAAACTGCTGATACCGAGAAAGCCTTTGTGAGAAAGGAAATTTAAAACATGTTGAGATTCCCTTCTCTCAACTGTCTTTTTCTCCCAAGGACACAAAATATCTTTCCCATCTTCAGCTCACCTCTCCTCCTGGGGCATCCCACGGTGGATGGCAATGGCTGGGAAGTTCTGCTCCACTAGTAGCTGGGCCAAGGCAATGCACCGCTGCACAGACTTCACAAAGATCACCACCTGTTGTGGGGTGGGGTGGGGGGTCGCAAATTGGGGGAATAGGGGTCCATGGTGTGTGAGAGACATTACGTGGGAGAGGGGAGTTTCTAGTAATTACGTTCTCAGGAATTCCTCTTCATTTCTCTTATTCCCCCACTATATATTTAGAGCAGAAAAGGAAATATAACTTTACTTCAGCACTGATTTTTCCCTAAGGAAGCTGGCCTCTGAGGTAGCACAGAGTTCAGAAATCAAAATTGCCAGACATGCTAGGAGATGAGGATGAGATCACCTCATGAAAAAGTGATAAAAAACTAGAATTAAGATCTGGAGGGGTAACTGATATTCCTGCTCACCAAAACATTAAACCTAAGGGAGCTATCCTAATTCTAGAAAGCAGTTTTAAATGCAAATAGACCACTCACAAGTATATTAATTAAACACTTTTTTGAGATGGGGTCTCACTCTGTCCCCCAGACTGGAGTGCAGTGGTGCAATCGCAAGTCACTGCAGCCTCCACCCTCCTGGGTTTAAGAGATCCTTCCACCTCAGCATCCCAAGCAGCTGGGACCACAGGTGCACACCACCACGCCCAGCTACTTTTTTTATTTTTTATTTTTACTATTTGTAGAGACGGGCGTCTCCCTATGTTACCCAGGCTGGTCTTGAAGTCCTGGGCTCAAGCAATGCTCCTGCCTCAGCCTCCCAAAGTACTGGGATTATGGGCATGAGCCACTGCCCTGCACCCAGTCAGAAATGCTTCTCTTGAATAAGCAGTTATTAGAGGAATTAAACATTCAAGAACCCTAACATGCCCCCAAACATCGTTTCAAGACTTTTAACAACTTCCTAAAATCCTTCAAGGACTTTTGGAGACAAGATCTCACTCTGTTGCCCAAGCTGGAGCACAGTAGTGCAATCATAGTTCACTGCAGCCTCAATTTCCTGGGCTCAAGCTATCCTCTCACCTCAGCCACCAGAGTATCTGGGACTACAGGCATACACCACCACACCTGGCTAATTTTTTTCTTCTTTGGTAGTGATGAAGTTTCGCCATGTTGCCCAGACTGGTCTCAAACTCCTGGACTCAAGTGATCCACCTCCCTCAGCCTCCCCAAGTGCTGGGATTACACACATAAGCCACCGTGCCTGGCCAAGGATCTTAATTTTTGAAGTTTATTTTCCTTGAGGTTATTGAGGACATACCCGTGCCAGCCATAGAATAGAAAAGCAGCTCCCACCTTACTCATGCTCAGCCCCTAAGATATTTATACCCTCATTATTCTCTCCCACATCACACATGTGATTTCCTCAATAAAAGTGTACTTAATATCCAGGTTTCTGCTACAGCTGGAGTGCTCCAATGCTCATCCCCCTACTGGACGTCTAACTGACCTGGTTGAACTCAAGGACATCCAGAAGGTCAAAGAGCTTCCGGTTCTTCTCGTTGTCCTTCAGTTTCACGTAGTACTGCTGCAACCCATGCAGCGTCAACTTCGTCTCATCATCCACGAAGATCTCCATTGGCTGGGGGGGAGGAAGGGGGTGGGGAACGGGAGGAGGGCAGAGTGGGGGGGTTAAACCTGGGGGGGTGGAGGAAGTTGATCTCCAATACACCCCATGGGGGGATGGGGAGGAAAGAGAAGATTGAAAACCCCACCCCACTCCCAAAAATACCCATATTTTACTGTGGTCTCTCTCACATTACATCTAATTTCCTTCCTATCAGATGAGTTTTAAGACTGCCCAACTAAAAACTATCATGGGAAAGAAACTGCAAATGAAGTCAAGGAGCAGTGAAACCACCCAATGGCACAGATGCCATTACCTCAAATAGAGGTGGGAGAGGAAAGAAAATGGGAGATGATTCTCAAAGGGAGAGCAAGGACCAAACATCTGGGAAATGATGGGAGGCAGTGACTCAAGGTCAGAATAACTCCATCAGAGGTGCTTCTAAGAACATGGGGTGGGGGGAGGACAACTGCTCCATTTGATTCTCCTACTTCAACTAAGAGAATCTCGTGTGCATTAGCAAAGTGGATGTCTTTTAAGATCAGAATGCTGCAATGGACAGTCAAAATGCCACTTAAGGAGAAACAAAAATTACTCAAGATGAGTTACTTGCCGTCAGACCACAACAGGATAGTTTTAGATGAGACTGGTCTCTTGACTAAGAATTAAACCATCTACAGGTTTACAGGAAAGGTATCAGTAAGTGGTGTTAAAATACCAAATTCAGAGCAGCAGATACACTTTTAAGGGACAGGATCTCACCATGTTGCCCAGGCTGGAGTGCAGTGGCTATTCACTGGCACAATCATAGCACACTATAGCCTCAAATTCCTGGGCTCAAGTGATCCTCCTGCTTCAGTCTCCTGAATAGCTGGGACTACAGGCACACACCATTATACCTCACTGCATTCATCTTTAAAATTAAAAAACCCCCTGAAGGGGAGGAAAGTAACAAAGACAGAAATTACCACAACTCCAAAGCCCAACTTTCCTAACACTTTTTATACTATCCTGGGGGAAGATAGTTAATATGAAGACCCAGAGGACAAAATAGGAAAGGATGCGTGTGTCATGGGAAAAAAACCAGAAGCCCAATCCCAGAAGGCAGGTTTTGTTTTTTGTTTTGTTTTGATACAGGGTCTCTCTCTATCACCCAGGCTGGAGTACAGTGGCACAATTACAGCTTACTGCCACCTCCACGTCCCGGGCTCAAGCAAACCCTCCTGCCTCAGCTTCCCAAGTAGCTGGGACTACAGGCATGCGCCACCACGCCCGGTTTTTCTGGTAGAGACAAAGTCTCACTACACTGCCCCAGCTAGTCTCAAATTCCTGGGCTCAAGCAATCCTCCCACCTTGGCCTCCCAAAGTGCTGGGATTAGAGGTGAGCCACCAGGCCCAGCCAAGGCAGGCTTTCTAAAGAGAAGTTCCATGGCCTCCTTCAAATCTCATTCTAGCCCCAAATACAGCTAAAGAGTGATCATCCCACGGGAAGGAACACTGCAGGGAGGGGAAGAACACACTCCACTGCTTATGCAATTGGCCCCACCTAGCCCCAAACCCTAACAACCACCCGATTACATCCACTTTACCTTTCCTATGTCCCTCTCCTCTGAGTATTAAAAAAAACAAAAAAATTTTTTTAAGAAAAAAAATCTACCACCCCATTCAGGACACCCCTCCCCAACACATATTGGGGGAAACGGGGCACGGCACGCGTTGGGTTCAGGAAAAAAACCGGGAACGGAAAAAGAGGCTGGTTTGGTCCTCAGCTTCCTGGTCAGGTTTCCCCGCGGCCTCCGCTGCCGCCATCCACCGCTGGGTGCCGTCTGCATTCCCTCGCCGCGCCACGGTGCTTCTCTGTTGCCGGCTCACATCAACCGAGGTTCCAGATGGGTGCAAGGAGATGTGGGTGGGAAGGAGTAGGGTATCGGGGATTGAGGTGCCAAAGGCCCCCACCCCTGGAGGTGGGGAAGGGGAGGATTCATTTGTGCTGATGCTCTTCTTTTGGACATGCCCTGCCATCTGTCTGTCCCTCTCTTGCTCTCCTGCCACCGGGAAGTAGGAGTTTTGGTGAGCAGAAGGCTCCAGCTGTACGCTCGATGCCACCTTGAGGGTGCGTGGCTGTAGGGTGCATGTAAGAGACGATGGATGGGTGGGTGGTAGGGCAGAAAAATCCTGCCCTCCCCCAAAGGGAGAAGAGGTTCAAAAATGTTGTGATTTATGAAAAAGTCGAACACTACCCGCTCTCACATTAACCCGACCAAGTCTTCCGGAGTTTCCCTGGCACCCGCGCAGGCCCTAACACTAGCTGTCTCTGCTTCTGTATGTCTCTTCAAGGAGTCATTACTCCCAGTTGGGCACAAGCCGCCTTCTTGGCACTTGAATGACAAGGGAGTCTGAGGAAGAGGGCGAGGAAGGGGAGGAGGCAGCGGGCGGGGAGTGGAGGGAGAGAAGGTAGAAGGGTATTTACATCTTGCATGAACTTGCGGCAGACTGGACGGATCTCTTTGCTCAAGGTAGCACTGAACATCATGACCTGCTTCTCGTGGGGGGTCATGCGAAAAATTTCCTGGACATCCCGACGCATGTCTACAAGAACAAGGAAAAAAATTGTAGGAGAAAATAAGCAGGTATGATAAACAAAGATTAGAGGTAGACTTCCCAGTGAGGTGAAGATTGCTGGAAATAGTAACAACACAATGGAAAGAGCAATGGACTTGGAATCAAGAAGTGGGATCAGATTCCAGCTGTTTGTTTTAACCAAGCAAGAAATAAGGTAAAACCCCAAAGTTCCCAACTATGAAATGGGGATAAAGCCCAGTGCAGAGGCTCTCAAGGCCTTCAAAACATGCTTTATGGGACCTTCTCCCAACCCTTTCCTGCCCAAGCCCCAGCCAGCCTTCAGCAGACTACAAATATCAAGCACATATTATATTCCAGATATCAGAGTCCATCTATGACTCTCTGGATTACTTTTCTATCAAGTCAGGCAAATATGACATCCCTACCTGGAGCCCACCTTTATAGCTCACCATATAGAATTGCCAAAGATCATTTGTAATGACTTATGGGGCCTATGTCCAACCCCACTCTCATTCACCAAGATTCAATTCTTACAGAAAAATCTTCCATTAACCCCACCTGGCACACTAGAATACCACATCACACAAACTGCTACAAACACTCTCTACATTAATCCCAGACCTGAGTCTAGACACTTATTCAGCTATAAATTCTGACTGTAAATGCTGTGCTGGAGATGCCAGAAGGGTACTGTCTTCTCTTTCAGTTTAGAATCTCCGCTATGACTCCCAGTATATGAATCTATAATGAAAACGGTGGTGGTGGTGATGACTTATGCCTAAAATTATCAAAGTCCCCTATTCTCAAAGGTTAAAAACAAAAATCATAGAAAGATGATAGATGACACCCTTTACTGTGCTTAAAAGCATAATAAAGACCAACCAGGGAACCCAGAGCCATCAGTCATGGGTGATAGATAAGAGTCGTCCTTGCACTGAGGTGCTCCTGTTTCAAATAAACATCATTTGGCTCCAAAGAACAACTCCCCAGCATTAGCCAAGCCCCAGCACTGCCACTCACCGAGCTGTTCAAGCATCTTATCACATTCATCCAAAATAAAGTGTTTAATGTGTTTGAGGTTGAGGCTCTTATTTCGAGCCAGGGCTAGGATACGGCCTGGAGTCCCCACGACGATATGCGGGCAGTTCTTCTTCAGCACCTCTTCATCCTTCTTGATAGACAGACCACCAAAAAAAACAGCAACCTGCCGAGCCAGAAGCAAAGAGTCTCAAAACAGAGGAAGGAAAGAGTCCAATCCCCCCAGGGTTCCCACTCTGTTTGAGCTAAACCAATTTTTAGCATGTTTCCAAACTAAAACTAACTTTAGAGGGCACCTAATTTAAAAATTTTATGTCCCCCCCACCAAACACTGAGGGTGATTGCCTAAAGTTACATGGCTAGTCGGAGCAGTCAGGACAATAATTCAGTTCTACTGACTTAATCTAACCAACTTCCTTCATTTATGAGGCCAGGCTTCATTTAAAAAATAAAGGAGCCAGGTGTGGTGGCACACGCCTATAATTCCAGCTACTCAGGAGGCTGAGGCACGAGAACCTGGGAGGCAGAGGTTGTGGTGAGCCAAGATCCCACCGTTGTACTCCAGCCTGGGCAACAAGAGTGATACTCCATCTCAAAAAGAAATAAAATAAATAAAAATAAAATAAAGCCAGGCCCAGTGGCTCACGCCTGTAATCCCAGCAGTTTGGGAGGTCAAGGAAAGTGGATCACTTGAAGCCAGGAGTTCAAGACCAGCCTGGCCAACACGGTGAAACCCCATCTCTACTAAAATACAAAATTTACAAATTTACTACTAAAAAACAAAAAATACAAAATTTAGCCGGGAGGCTGAGGCAGGAGAATCGCTTGAACCCGGGAGGTGGAGATTGCAGTGAGGCGAGATTGAGCCACTGTACTCCAGCCTGGATGACAGAGCGAGACTCCATCTCAAAAAATAAAAAATAAATAAATAAAGGACAGCAAGAAATCACCAGATTAGTGTAAAGTACCACAAAAAACACATGGAACATTAAGGTTTCCTAAATAAACCCAGAATCTCAAACTCTTTTCACACAAACCCCATGAAATTACTGCTTCGGGCTAAATATTATCATTTCATGTTAAAACCATTAGGTGAATAGTTGTTTGGGGATCTGGGCCTTGGTACAGTATCAAATAACACCAGAAACTACTTTCTGGTTTCAAGGGGGAAAAGAACAACTGTGGAATCAGACTGTCACGACGCTAATCCTATGGTAAATCTAAAATCATTAATGAGGCCAGGTGCAGTGGCTCACTCCTGTAATCCCAGCACTTTGGGAGGCCGAGGTGGGTGGATCACTTGAGGTCAGGAGTTCGAGACCAGCCTGGCCAACATGGCGAAACCCTGTCACTACTAAAAAAAAACAAAAATTAGCCAGGCATGATGGCACACTGTAGTCCCAGCTACTCGGGGGGTTGAGGCGGGAGATTCGCTTGAACGTGGGAGGCGCAGGTTGCAGTGAGCTGAGATCGCGCCACTACACTCACAGCCTGAGGGACACAGCGAGACTCCATCTCAAAACAAATAAATAAAAATAAAATAAAATAACTAACATAAGTCGACCAGATTTGTGGCATAACAGGAGATACAGTATCACCTATGAAGGATTCTTGCCAAAAATGCTTAACTTCAATCAGATTTTTTCTTTTTTTTTGAGATGGGAGTCTCACTCTGCCACCCAGGCTGGAGTGTAATGGCACAATCCCAGCTCACTACAACCTCTGCTTCCTGGGTTCAAGCGATTCCCCTGCCTCAGCCTCCCAAGCAGGTGGGACTATAGGTGTGTGCCACCATGCACGGCTAATTTTTGCATTTTTAGTAGAGAGAGGGTTTCATCCTGTTGGCCACATTGGTCTTAAACTCCTGACCTCAAATAATCCACACGCCTTGGCCTCCCAAACTGCTGAGATTACAGGTGTAAGCCATTGTGCACTTGGCCAGAATCCTCAATATTCACACACCACTGGAGCTGTTTTAAAGTTTCCGGCTTTCTCTGCCACATACCCCAAAATTATTAAACTGATATGATTCAAAGTCAGTATAAAGTAGTAAGAAAAGGGTGGTCTTGTGTTAAGCATCATCCATAGCCCAATTACGAATCCTCCTGTTACATAGGAACTCAACACTCTGTTACACCACAGCAAACTAAAGCTTCTCCAAAATTAAAGAGACTATTGGCCTACAAGTTTCTTATCCCTCCAACTTGCCACACCCTCACTCTCAGGTCTCTTTACCTTGGCTTACCTTGACATTGGGCATGTATTTAGAGAAGCGCTCATATTCCTTGCTGATCTGAAAAGCCAACTCCCGAGTGTGACACATCACCAGTACAGACACCTTAGGCAGGAAGTAGACGGAGACATATGGTAAATGTAGCTCTTCATTATCCCCTCTAGGGAAGTGACTGTCACAAAAACACACCTGGGCCGATAATAAATGACTTCAATTATGTGATCTAAATCATGAACCCCACGCTTGCGACAGAACATCCCCCACAGCTGTCAGGTTGTCAAGGGTAACAGAGGTCATGTGCTCATGGCTCTGCAAGCATCATGTAGCTAGGACAAAAACACCCTTCCCTTATAGTCCTAACCAAAATCCCCTCCCCAGCACTCTCCCCAAATATACCTGCCCAGTAACTGGCTCCAGCTGTTGCAGTGTGGCCAAGACAAACACTGCTGTCTTTCCCATGCCCGACTTGGCCTGGCACAGGACATCCATTCCCAGAATGGCCTGAGGGATGCACTCATGCTGGACTAAAAGTTGGGGGGGGAGGAAGATAAATTAGACTTCAGTCTCCAGATAACTCTACCTTTTTCACCATGCCAAGCCCATTTCTTACCACTCAATTCTCAAAGTCTAGTATTTACCTGGTTCTTGCCAACTTCCAGACCCATTTTACCTCTCTCTGCTCAATTACATTCACCTCAAAATCAGACTCTCCTAATTCCTCCTAGCTTTAGCCTCCTCCAGATCTAGGCCTTCCCAGTCCTAGTAACAAACCCCTTGCATCTACCAACCGCTCACCTTCAATGATCCTAGCTCTGTCCTTATTTTTCTTAATCTGTAACAATTCATGACATTTGAATACCTGCCACAGACCACTTCTCCTGCTTAGGTTGCTATACTTCGGGTCACGTAACTACTACAACCCTGGACAAAATGAAGGACTTGGTACCTGACCCAGAAGCCAGTCATCTCTAAACCAGTCATAGAGGTTTCCAGAGACCACAGTTGGCCTGGCCCAACAGAGGGAGACTACAGGTCCAAGCAGGACCTTTCTGGAAATTTAAAATTAGAAGTCAAGTGACAAAATTAAAAATAAGCAGACAAGAAAAGCCAGTCACAAGAATGAATGGCAGACCTGGAAGTCACTTTTGGATCATTAGCACTTTGGTGCTATCACGAAAGAAAGAATAAGCCTGTATAAGCCTCCTCTATCCAAAATTGTTTTTGATACTTATCCCCTGATTTTTTCTTCCTCACTGTCGCCCCGGCTGGTGCACAGTGGTGCAATCACGGCTCACTGAAGCCTCAACCTTCACCTGCTTAATTTCTGAACGTTTTGTAGAGACAGGAGTCTCGCTGTGTTGCCCAGGCTTCTCTTGCACTTTTGAGCTCAAGTGGCCACCCTCCTGCCTCGGCCTCCCAAAGTGCTGGGATTACAGGCGTGAGCCACTGCACCTGGCCCTGATCTAGCCTTAAGTATAAACCCTTACCACCACCTGAGCAACGACAAACACATCTTTGTATTGTACCCTTAAAGAGCCCAATGAGCACTACATGCCCAAGAGAAAATTTACCTTCTGACGGATGCTCAAAGCCACAGTCGACAATGGCCCGGAGCAACTCTGGCTTGAGCAGGAAGTCACGAAAGCCAGAGCTGTGGATGGAGACATAGGAGCCCTTGACATCCTTCTTGGCAGGGGCCTCAGCCCCATCTCCCCCAGCTGCTGTCTCCACCTCATCATCTTCATAGTCCAAGAGCTCATTGTCCACATCGTTCTCTGCCATAACTGGGCCGGCAGGGGAAGAAGGGAAGGGGGATCTGGATGGGTTCTCGCAAAATAGGTGAAAACAAGGGGTGAAGAGTAGGGGATTGAGGAACAGCAAAGGAAAACAAAGATACTATTTCTAACAGAAGAGCTGGAGGGGGGAAAAAAAAAAGCAAGACTTAATCACGAGCACAGCCTTCACCACCTCTTTTCCATCCCCAGTTCCCACTTTCCCTAAACCAGGAAACTTTTACCTGGAAAGAAAAACAGATACAAAACATAAAAACGAAAAGCAAATATAACAGAACAGAAAAAGCAGTACCAGGGAAAGTGGTTAGGACAGAGGTTCCCAACAAGATTAGCAATCACAGTAGCGGAAACCAGAAAAGTTGGAAGGGGAAGACCAACTTATAAATTCTTGATCTGAAAGTAACAGTGAGGAAATAGAATAGATAATAAAAGGTAAAATACGACTAATAACTTAGTAAAGTGGAAAATGGAGATGACAAGTAGAGTCCTGAAAAGTCCTCAAAGGAAGACTCCGCTTTCCCTATTATAATCCCACCGTTATGGATGCCTAACTCAGCAGCCATCAGTCAAGGGTGATAGATGAGGGTCATCACTGCGCAAAGCGCTCACCTTTCGAAAAGAAAACATCATATGGCCGCCGTCCACCTCCCATAGCTCTCAGCCTCCCACTTCTCAGTATCCTCCCTTCCGCTGTTTAAGCAAGCCTTGTGTAATTAGCATGGGGGGGAGGGGCGGTGCAAGACAAATGGCTCGGCCACAAAAAAACAAAATTCATGTCTCCACCCTACAATAAGAAAGCTAATAGGTGACAGAGAAAGGCAATCCCCGCCCAGGCTTTAACAGGATCTTTACCAAGTGGTCTCACATCACTGTTACGCTACGAAGGTGAGACTCCTTTTGGAGAAACATACAATGACACCAATCGTATCGTAAACACTTGGAAGGCACTCCAAATTAAGTTGGGCAAGTCAAGGTGAGAAAAATCCAACTGGGCCCAGAAACCAGCTCCTCCTCCCAGTCCCACCGAGGGCCGAGAAAGAGCTCAAGAAAGGACAAGGAAGGTGAGAAGAGCCCCGCCCTCCGCAAATACCAAGACCAAGGGACGCCGAGCGCCGCCTCTCATTGATGCTGAGGCCTCCAATATGAGAAGAACCCATTGGAAGAAGGGAGCAAAACGAACACAATGGCGCCGAGGACACCATCTTGGATTGGGTCCCCCCTTAGCTTCCCTTCCTTCCCCCAGGAGCTCTTTGCTCTCGAAAGGGATGCAAGCTAAGGAAATAGCGAACCAACTAGGCCCCAGCGACCAGACCATCGCCTGTGAAAAGGGTATCAGGAACCCATGTGACGGGATGGGTGCGGAGAAGCGCAGATGGAAACGGATTGTAGCGAAGGCCAAAGCTTACCTAAACAGGGAGAGCGCGTATGGCGGCAGCAACAGCGACGAAGGAGGGAAATCTGCCTTCACTTCCGGTTGCAGGCTTCCCTCTACTCCAGCCTCCCGCCTTCTTGGCTGCAAGAGCGCAGGCGCAAGGGACCGGAAACAGGGCCTTCCGCGGTTATACAGATCCGTGCGCTCCAGGCTTGCCTTTGGAAAATGCCTGTCTGAAATTTGTTTTAAAACCGTTTCTAACTTCACTGCTACCGCCAGTAACAAAAGATATAAAGGAAACTAACGTCTCCCCCCCACTGTTATCTTTATTCTCTTATCCTACTCCTCTCCATGCCCCTCATCTCTTCGTTTAGGTTTTTGCCACGCAGGTCTTCTCTGTAGGCACCCCTCCATGGATGCGCGAGGAACGAGTGTGGCGAAGGCTGCGAGTTCCCACGGGGTCCTTGGCCCGGTAGTGAAGGTGACCTGAGGACTGCTGGGCACGCACTAGGAACCGGCAGGCCCTAGCTGAGGGGAGGGAGGAGGGAAGTCTCAGGGAACTGGATTGCTCGGGGGTGTTTCCCGACTCTTTCCCAGTCGTGGGGCTGGTGGGCGGTATTTTCCCAAAAGGATGCTGTCCGAGGTAGCTGATGCCCTAGGGCCAGTGAGTCAGGAAGGTGTTCTGAATCCGAGCGGGAAGACGGGGTCTGGATTCGGCCCCAAGTGTTAATAGTAGGGCTTGAGGGTTATACTACATTCCATTAATACTGTTTTTGTTTTTGTTTTGAGACAGAGTCTCGCCCTGTCGCCCAGGCGGGAGTGCAATGTCCTGATCTCGGCTCACTGCAACCGCTGCTTCCCGGGTTCAAGCGATTCTCCTGCCTCAGCCTCCCGAGTAGCTAGGATTACAGGCGCCCGCCACCACGCCCAGCAAATTTTTGTTTTTTTAGTAGAGACGGGGCTTCACCCATGTATGACCTCAGGTGATCCACCCACTTCGGCCTCCCAGAGTGCTGGGATTACAGGCGTGAGCCACCGCGCCCGGCCCATTAATACTGTTAATTCGAGCAGAATGTTCTTGGCCCCGCCCCAACAGCCCCATTGTTCAACCTGGATTTTTTTCCTGAATGAAACATTTGCTATCCCCGTCTTTGAGATGGGGAGCTACAAAAGTAAGACCTGATGTCCTGCTGTGTAATAAAACAACAAACGTTTGGCCCTCTCCCTGTTAACATACTTAATCATTTAATACTAAGGAGTAGGTACCGTTATTCTCATCTTATTGACAGAAGCGAAGCAAAGCAACATATCTCAAGCAGTACGGCTGGTGAGGTTACAGCCAGGATGCAAACATCTCTCATTCTCTATTGTATTCTGCCTCCCTGCTCAAAGAATCTGGTTAGTAAATACACTGCAGGTTACCTTATTGGTTCAAATTCTTGGTGAAGTAAGCTTGTCTTCAGTGACAAATGAAGTAACTAATTCAAGAATGGTGTCATAGAAGGTATTTTCCCAAGTATCATTTAATTTATTCAAAAGTATTTATCAACTGCCTCCCTTGTGCCACATGTTGTCCTAGGATCTGGGGACACAACGGTGAACAGCCCTGTTCTCACAGTGTTTACATTACAGGAAAGAAAACACATAAACACAAATATAATGTCAAGTATCGATAAGTGGTCAGGGTGCAGTGGCTCAGGCCTGTAACCCAACCCTTGAGGAAGCCGAGCCCGAAGGATTGCTTGAGCCCAGGAGTTTCAGACCAGCCTGGGCAAGTGAGACCCCATCTCTACAAAAAATTTTAAAATTAGCAAGGCATAGTGGCACTCGCCCGTAATCCCAGCTACTCAGGAGGCTGAAGTGGGAGGATCATTTGAGTCCAGGGGGTCAAGGCTGCCGTGAGCTGGAACTCCAGCCTGGGCAACACAGCAGGACCTTGTCTCAAAAAACCAGTAGCAGTAAGTGCTATGAAGAAAATGCAAGGTAAAGGGGCAAAGAGCACTTGCTCCTACACTCCAGCTTTTCTCTACAGTTGCGATCTATAGTCCTCAGATTCCCAAATGAGGAACCATGTTTCTCACTTTAGAGAAATAATAAAGTACTACTTGTTCTTGTTTCTCCAAGAAGTTTCAAAGGATAGCCATTTGGGCTGTTTAGGGAATATGTAAACAAAAAACAAGAAAGTGACTGAAGGCCAGGCACAGTGGCTCACACCTCTAATCTCAGCACTTTGGGAGGCCAAGGCAGGTGGATCACTTGAGGTCAGGAGTTTGAGACCAGCCTGACCAACATGGCGAAACCCCATCTCTACTAAAAATACAAAAAATAGCCAGGCGTGGTGGCACACACCCATAATTCCAGCAACTTGGGAGGCTGAGGCAGGAGAATCGCTTGAACCTGGGAGGCAGAGGTTGCAATGAGCTGAGATCACGCCATTGTATTCCAGCCTGGGCAACAAGAGCAAAACTCCATCTCAAAAAAAAAAAAAACAAAGTGACTGAAAATGAGAAATGATGAGGCAAAAGGAGGCTGCTTCAACTCACCAATTTATTTGCCAATAATTATTTTATTGATACTTTTTTTATTGTTACAATGGGAAAGTAAGGTGTCAAGGATATAGAAAGGAAGGGCATGCATATGAGGGAACACAGTATCATTTTAGATCTTAGAAAGCAATGAGCATCTGATAAGTCTTTGGGGAAATAGGAAAGGAGGAAAATCTAATAAAGACAAAGATCAGCAAAAGAAAAACAAAGAGAGGCTACAAAATGCAGTTATCTACCTGGAATTATAAGAGAGGGGCTAAATGTAGTCATCTCCTCTTTTTGGAGATCAGAAGGTCTCTGGGAAAAGAGAAGAACCAATTTTTCAGAAAATAACTAGGGTCACAGAATGAACAAGTGGAATTAGAGAGCCAGTGATGGACGTGAGGAAACAGCTGTGTAGGTTTTGACCAGTGAGCAGGTGGTGGTAATAGTATCACAGGGTTGCTACTTACTGAATCACTGCTACAACATGCAAGGAACTGTGCTAGACTTTACAGAATGATTCCTAATCATTGAAGCAACCCTCACAAGGTAGGCATTATTATCATCCCAGTTTCACAGAGGAGGACATCGAGGCTACCAAGTTAAGTAGCTTGTCCTGGTTTCACAGCCAGCAAGTGACAGGGTCAAGAGAGGGACCCACATCGGCCAGACACTGAAGTCAGGATGTTTTCCACATTCCTACTTCCCCATATTACAAATTTCACAGAGGGTTTAGGTGAGAATGACTTGGAAGTTTACAAAGTCCCAGTGAGGGTTAAAGAACAACAAGGAGATTCAGATGTGAGCAGGATATTTATAAGTGTCACAGGAAAATTATTGGATCCTGCCTCCCAGGATTTCTAGGGGATGGAAAGAAGACAGGGATTATGGTGGGAGGTGATTTTGATTGGAGGATTTCTTTGAGGGAGGGAACTGGCAGAAGGAGTCAGGCCCTACGGTGGCCCTAGGCAGAAATCCGGTAGTTGGGGTGGACCTGGGGCCTGACGTCGCAGACCATGCCAAGAAGCTGGGCCAGGACACGCTCTCGGTTTCTCTGCTGGGAGCTCTGCATGCCCTGCACCTGGCGCCTTGTAGCCTGCTCCACCTCAGCAGACAGGTTCCCCTGGGAGCCCATGGCCTGGGGGGTAGGGAGAGGGGTGGAAGAGAGAAAGGGAAAAGCAGAAACAGACAAGGGTCCAGGCATATGAGGGGAAAGATCCTGAAACAAAGCCTAGAAGAAAGGCCCTCTCAGAAACCACCCCCATCCCACAGAAATATCCCAACACCAAAGAGATCAACACAGTCCCCTTTCCCCTTAGACCTAACATGCAACTTCATCCTAAAACAGACCGTAATATCCCCACCACCTCACCATCCATGACCATAAAACTCTACCCTCCACCACAAATGTTAATCATACTCCACATAGATGTTATACTTTACACAGACTGTGGCATTCCGCCCACAAGCTCTATGTGGCCTTCAAAACTCCCAGACTCTCCTACATATCATCACAAAGTTTCACCAATGTTGTGGTCCCTGCCAGGGTCCCCTCAGCCTCAGCCCTCTGCCACCATATTTTCTTGTTGAGTCACCCTTACACACCTCACTAGATGCACCCACCAACTTGCAGTGGGGTCTCAACCCGACTCTGCCTCAACTCACCGCCTGCTGCTTGCTCTGGAATTCGTGCTCTCGCTCTCTGCGGTATTGCTCCACCTCCATCTGTGCCTCCTCCTTTGCCTGCTTCAGTCGCCGGGCCTTCCCTGGAGGCAGAAGAAAGGACAGTGAGTGGGGATGGACCCACACACACACAATGTAATAGCAGGAGTCAGTCCCTTCCAGAAAGTTATACAGCCTTCTCTCAGCCAACCAGGTGCCAGATTCTAATATCCATCCATTTCTTCCCTCCTAACCAGCCTCCAGACCCTAGCTGTCTGTCTTCCCGCCAGCCTTGGGTTTTCCCAAAATGTTTGCTGTCCCCCACCCCCAATTTTCTTTCCAAACTCCTAAGGGAGGAAAGAGGAGACTCACTCTTTCTGGCATCTGCCACCTTCTCAGCTGCCCGCTTCTCAGCTTGCAGAAGCTGCTGGATACCTTGGGACTGACTGGCCATTTCTGTTGTTATGGCCGATGCTGTTTTGAATGCTGTCAAAGTACCAGATGGCTCCCACCCCCCACCGCTTACTTCTCCTCCTCCAGCTCGTTGCTGCAGTCCTCCACTACCCCTGGGTCTTAGTGCTCCCCTGCTCACTCAGCCTCCTGCACCGAGTGTCTCTCCCAATCTCATCCTCCTATTGATGACTGGTCCTCCTCTCCAGCACTTCTTGCTCAGGCAGTACCCAAAGGGGCCGCCTGGGAGCAGCAGAGACCAGGCCCAAAGCTGCGGGCTTACAACAGGTTAGCCATCCCAGTCGGAAAGGTCTAGGGATGAGGCAGGGGCGGAGACGGGGGAGTACTGAGGTGAGAGAAGGAGAACTTGATTGGTGGTAACAGAGGAAGCATAAAGGGTTGTGAATGCGGTGAAAAGGTAAGGATGTCATCATGCAACCTGTGTTGGGAAAAGAGCATTCTGGGCTTAATTCTAAACTAACTCTCTACCTTTCTCTCTCTCTCCACCATCCCGCCCCCTCCCCTGCCTCCCGTTGTTAACATCTCCATCTTTTTCTACATATTTCTCAAGTCCAAATTTTTGCATCTCACTTGCCCCATCCTACGATAGTCTTCTTCCGTCTTTTGTCTGTATTTTTTCTTTTTTTTGATCTGTCCCTGTTGTTGTCCCACTGTGGTTTTTGTTTTTGTTTTCCATGTTTAATGTGATTTTTATCCTGTCTTTATCTCCTCTATTTTCTCTGTCTTCTCATCTTTTCGTCCATCACTGAACCATCTCCTCTCTCTGCCAAGTTAGAGGAGGCGGGAAAAAACCTCCAAATAACTCTCTTTTCTCCCTCCCCTCCCCTCGCCTCCTTTTCCTCGCCTCCAGTCCAGTCTTCTGGTTTCAGACGGCCCCTTTAATTTAAGTTCCCTAGTTTCCCCTGGGAGATCTGGCCAAGAACTACCCGGTCGGGGCGGAACGACATCCGGTAACGCCCCTCACAGTTCACTTCCGTCCTCCACCTGCGTCTCTGCTTGCGCCATTTCCTCCAGCCTGGAGTGTCTCCGCCCTTCCCGCCTCCCGTCTCCGAGCTTCTTAAACACAGGCCTTGGGCCTACGGCTCTGGGGGTACTTGGGGGGGCGGGGGCAGGTCTGATGAGTAACCCCTCCCCCCAGGTTCCAGAGGAAGAAGCCTCCACATCTGTCTGCCGGGTACATGATATTCAATTTCTAGATCATTATTGGAGATTATCTGTGACTTTTTAAAACTCAGATTTCTGCTGATAAAAATTTTCCCCATCCGGCCCTGTTGGGTTTTTTTAAAGTTCTTTGTTAAAAATTAAAAATTTACCTGGGCTCCTGAGCCTTAAACCAATTATTTACCCTTTTCTCGAATTTTACATTAAAAAAATTAAACCTCTGATCCTATCACCCCCCTCAAAAAAAATTTTTTTTCAAATCTATCATCTGATAAAGGATCAGGGTTAGGTTAGGCCTCATCTCTTGCTGAAGATATTAAAAAAAGACGGAACCAAAGGGAGAAACAACAGGGGATGTCAGAGATGGAGGGAGAAGGACCAGCCAAGGCTGAAGTCCTGACTGCTGCCTTTTTTCCTTCCCCAGCCCAAGAGTTCCATGGCCTCCACTTCCCGCCGCCAACGCCGAGAACGTCGCTTTCGTCGTTACTTGTCTGCAGGACGGCTGGTCCGGGCCCAGGCCCTCCTCCAGCGACACCCAGGCCTCGATGTAGATGCTGGGCAGCCCCCACCACTGCACCGGGCCTGTGCCCGCCACGATGCCCCTGCCCTGTGCCTGCTGCTTCGGCTCGGGGCTGACCCTGCCCACCAGGACCGCCATGGGGACACGGCACTGCATGCTGCTGCCCGCCAGGGCCCAGATGGTGAGTCTGCTCAGTGGGGAACAAGGTCATAAGCAGCTGACCAGACCTGAAATGAAAGCCAACCAATAGTTGAGAAATAAGCTGGTTATTTGGTCATCAGGACCTAGGGAAGGAGTTAACCAAGTTGGCATGTGGCTGTCATTTGTCCCTTTACATTACTGAGCTAC